>NC_000012.12:77308612-77460128 GCF_000001405.40 Homo sapiens | reverse complement strand
TCCCCAGCAGAGGCTGCAGAACAGCAAATATTGCAGAATGGCAAATATTGCTGCCTGATCCTTCCTCTGGAAGCTTCATCTCAGGGGGGCACCCGGCCGTATGAGGTGTCAGTTGGCCCGTACTGGGAGGTGCCTCCCAGTTAGTCTCCTCAGGTGTCAGGGACCCACTTGAGGAGGCAATCTGTCCATTCTCAGATCTCAAACTCCGTGCTGGGAGAACCACTATTCTCTTCAAAGCTGTCAGACAGGAACATTTAAGTCTGCAGAGGTTTCTGCTGCCTTTTGTTTGGCTATGCCCTGTCCCCAGAGGTGGGGTCTACAGAGGCAAGCAGGCCTCCTTGAGCTGTGGTGGGCTCCACCCAGTTCGAGCTTCCCGGCCGCTTTGTTTACCTACTCAAGCCTCAGCAATGGCAGACAACCCTCCCCCAGCCTCGTCCACAGCCTTGCAGTTCAATTTCAGACTGCAGTGCTAGCAGTGAACAAGGCTCTGTGGGTGTGGGACCCTCCAAGCCATGCATGGGATATAATCTCCTGGTGTGCCATTTGCTAAGACGGTTGGAAAAGCGCAGTATTAGGGTGGGAGTGTCCCAATTTTCCTGGTACCATCTGTCATGGCTTCCCTTGGCTACGAAAGGGAATTCCCTGACCCCTGACCCCTTGCGCTTCCCTGGTGAGGCAATTCCCGGCCCTGCTTCGGCTCACACTCCATGGGCTGCACCCACTGTCTGACAAGCCCCAGTGAGATGAACCTGGTACCTCAGTTGGAAATGCAGAAATCACCCATCTTCTGCATTGCTCATGCTGGGAGCTGTAGACTGGAGCTGTCCCTATTCGACCATCTTCCCTTTATATTTTTTCTACCCTGGCCACCCCAGTCTATGATAGTGACCTCCCCATTTTTTCACTCTACAGTGTACTGTTATTCTCAATAAAGTGGGTCAATCTGCTATAGGGAGTCAAATTTTCAATATTTTATCCTTCCTTCTGATTTTTCTCTTACTATCAACAATCTAATTATTATCATGGATCTGTGGGTCCACAAACAACTTGGAGAAAATAATTAATAATTATCACATAAGAGGTTAGGTTAAAGAGCAGCTTTAGCATTGAAAATGTGCAACTAAACAATGAACCAAACAAAGTTAAAATGAATGTTCGGGTGCCTTAATTTTTGCAAACAAGTTGGGACAGAAGATTCAGATATGGGAAATGATTATCAGATTTCTTTTGATTAGGTGGTGTTTTCTTTCTAAGTACTTTAACCACATACAAAGATATCATGTGATCTTAGAAAACCAGATAAAACATTGATTTCATTACAGTTGCTGAATGTTTATACACAAATCCAGTTAAATGACTGCTTCTATGGTCCATTTCCAAAACGTGAAATAACTGGACAATATTATAATGACAAGGGCATGGTAAAACATGAAGAGTTTTCCAAATAGCAAGTACTTTTCCTCTCCTTTTTTAAACAACTAAAATAGAAGAATTGAAGTACGGTAGATTATTAAATGCATGTGTTTCATCTGAGCTCTTCCAAATATTAAATATACTTTCCATAGAAAGTGCTCTATTAGGTCTCAGCCATAGAACACACTCATGCAATGGACATCTTCCTCTGACGGTTGTCATATCTAGAGCAAAATAGAATCACTGCTCAAAAACCCTCACAGATGCCAAAATTCCCATGAATCTGGGAGTTAACAATGACTCTCCCCTCAAATAAGCAAAAAAAAGTGATTTCCTTGTCCACATGGATGAAATGGATGGTTTTAGATTAAAAACAAGGTACAAAACATACATCCATACACATACTTTTATATTATCTCAAGTGATAATAGAACACCCAAAGTATCAATTCAAAATACATCAGACTTGGTCACTTTTCCAAGAAGATTTAAAAGCTTTTATAATATATAAAAATTATATATTATATATATTTATACATACATATTTAGTGGGAAAATATATATTTACCGTAATATTTATACCAGATACACTATCACATTAATAGCTAATATTGAGTACATGTTTAATAAAAGGCAGCATATTTTTAAAATCTCATTTAATCCTTATCACATAATTGTTATTTATTTTACTTTAAGTTCTGGGATACAAGTGCAGAATGTGCAGGTTTATTACATAGGTATACATGTGTCATGGTGGCTTACCATACCTATCAACCTGTCATCTAAGTTTTAAGCCCCACATGCATTAGGTATTTGTCCTCATGCTCTCCCTCCCCTTGTCCCCACCCCTCAACAGACCCCAGTGCGTGATGTTCCCTTCCCTAAGTCCCTGTGTTCTCATTGTTCAACTCCCACTTATGAGTGAGAACATGAGGTGTTTAGTTTTCTGTTCCTGTTATCACATTATTATTAAGTTAGTACTAGTACTCTTGTTATTCTCACTTTCCAGTTAAAGAATCTAAGAATCAGAGTTTCAGTAATTTTTCTTGGTTTTATCATCTATTAAATGGAGATAATAATAACAATTCCTGTGAGATAGGGTTGGGAGTAATAACTTAAAAATTAATGTTTGTTAAAAGGTAGAACAGTATCTCACACATAGTAGTGTATGTGTTTGCTATTATAGTTAACAGTACCAGTAACTGTAATAAGTTGACCAACATCCCACAACTGTTACCGCATAATAGTTGAAGCTGAAGTTGGAACCCCAGTATCACAAAGTCCAGCTCATAACCACTACTCTACACTGCCTCTCATTACAAACAAGTGGAGCATTGTTGTACAAAGAGCTCATCGAATGAGGTACTGCAGAACATCCCCATATACTGCATGAGAATGATGGGTCATGATTAATGGTGGTGATGGTATAAAAAGAAAGAGCTAATTATCGGGGTGAACAAGGCCCAGATTATCTAGGGCTTGATAGACCATAACCAGCTTCCTGAATTGCACTTGGAAGCAAATTGGCAGCCAGAGCCCATGGAGTGAAGCACCTCAGTATAATGTGTTCCCTGTGGCTCACTCCCTTAGCACTTTATCCCAGAGTTTGTTTTATTTGCTTAGTTTAGAAGTAAATAAAACTGCACACAGAGCTGTTAAGCGCACATAAAACACAAAAATACAACATGTTGAGAAAAAAATAAATAAAAGAAAAACAACACTGCCATTCTTTCTGAACCCTCGGGTTCTAGCCACAGTTCAGGAAGGTCCTATTGACAAAAATATGCCCATGACATCTTACTGGATGGTAAGTTTCCTGCTGATAAACAACCTCCTTTAAGATTATCTTAGTTACATGTTGTAACTCCTAGACGTGGTCACTAAATACAACTGAATAAAGAGATACTTGGCAACCATGAGTAGAAAACTTAGAAAACTTGAACTTCAACTTCAGCCCTTTTTCAGGAGTTCTTGCTCTTATACATTACATAAAAATCAAAATGGATACAAGACCTAACTTTAAGACCTGAAACCATGAAACTCCTTGAAGGAAAACAGGGGAGAAGCCTCTTGACATTGGTCTAGGCAATGCTTTTTGGATAGCACACCAAAAGCTCAGGCTACAAAAGCAAAAATAAATAAATGGGACTCCATCAAACTAAAAAGCTTCTGTGCAGCAAAGGAAACAATTAACAAAATGAAAAGACAGCCTACAGATTGGGAAAAAATATTTGCAAATCATATATCTGATAAATTGTTAATATCCAAAATATATAATGAGTTCACACTGTCCAATGGCATAAAAACAAGTAAGCCAAAGGATCTGAATAGACATCTCTCTAAAGAAGATATAAAAATAGCCCACAGTTACATGCAAAGATGCTCAACATCACTAAACATCAGGGAAATGCAAGTCAAAACTGCAATGAGATATCACCTCACACCAGTAAGGACAGCTATTATCAAAAAGACAAGATGTAAAAAGTATTGGCACAAATGTGGAGAAAAGGATGCCCTTGTACATTGTTGGGGAGAATGTAGATTGGTGACGCCATTATGGAAAGCATATGGAAGTTCCTAAAGAAATTAAAGCTAGAACTACTGTAAGACTCAGCAATTCCTCTTCTGGATATATACTCAAAAGAAATGAAAATCATCCTGTAAAGATATCTGCACTCCCATGTTCATTGAAGCACTATTCACAATACACAAGATATGGAAACAACCAAAGTATCCATCAGCAGGTGAATGAATAAGGAAACTGTGAGATATAGTCACACAAACATGCACACACTAAAATATTATTCAGCCTTTAAAAAGGAAATTCTGCATTTGCCAGAACATGGATGAACCTGTAGGATATTATGCTAAGCGAAATAAGCCAGACATAGAAAGCAAAATGCTGCATTATCACACAGTGGTTACCAAGGGCATGGGGTAGATGTAAGTCAAAGAAAGGGAGTTCTTGGGACAAATAATAAGAATATGGCTTAGAGGGAAATATATACAAAAATGTGAGTCTTTAATCCTAATTTCACAAACCTTAACACAAGAACACCCACCAGGCATATTGCAATTTTATCATATAGATTTTGAGCTCACCAAAATCAATGAGATTAAAACTTAAGGCTTACACGAAACTCTTGTGCCACTTGATCCCAGAGCAGAAATTCCTCAACCAGGAGTTAGTATTAACAAATATGCATGCCCCTAAGAGAGGGATATATTAACGTAACCTTATAAATCAGATCTAATTCTCCCACATATAACTCTAACTATCCATGCATCACATATACTTAAAAAAATTGTGAGTACACAGTAGGTATATATATATATTAATGGGGTATATGAGATATTTGATATATATATACACGCACATAATGCATAATAATCACATCAAGTAAAATAAGATATTCATCAACTAGAGCATTTATCCTTTGTGTTACAAACAATCCAATAATACACTTTCAGTTATTTTAAAATGTACAATTAAATTATTATTGACCAAAGTCTCTCTATTGTCCTATCAAATACTAGATCTTATTCATTCTGTATTTTTCTATCCATAAACCAGGGGTCCCCAATCCCCAGGGGCCAGGGACTGGTACTGGTCCGTGGCCTGTTAGGAACTGGGCCACAAAGCAGAAAGTGAGCAGCGGGTCAATGAGCATTACAGTCTGAGCGCTGCCTCCTGTCAGATCAGCAGCGGCATTAGATTCTCATAGGATGGCAAACCCTATTGTGAACTGCACATGTGAGGGATCTAGGTTGTGCATTCCCTATGAGAATCTAACACCTGATGATATGAGGTATCTGAAGTGAAACAGTTTCATCGCAAAACCATCCCCTCTCATTCCCCCTCCCCCATTAGTAGAAAATTTGCCTTCCATAAAACTGGTCCTGGTGCCAAAAATGTTGGGGCCCATTGCCATTAACCATCCTCCCATCCCCCACCTTTTCATTACCCTTCCCAGCCTCTGGTAACCATCATTCTACTCTCTATCTCCATGAGCTCAACTGTCTTCATTTTTAGCCCCTACAAATAAGTGAGAGCATGCAGAATTTCTCTTTCTATGTCTGGCTTGTTTCACATAACATAATTGAACTCCAGTTCCATCCATGTTGTTGCAAATGACAAAGTCTTATTCCTTTTTGTGGATGAATAGTACTCTATTGTCTATAAGTGCCACATTCTCTTTATCCATTTATCTTTGATGGACACTTAGGTTTCTTCCACAACTTGGCTATTATGAATAGCTGCAAGAAACACAGTAGAGTAGATATCTCTTGGATACACTCATTTCCTTTCTTTTGGGTATATACCTAGCAGTGGGACTGCTGGATCATACACTACCTCTATTTTTAGATTTTTTGAGGAGCCTCCAAACTGTTCTTCATAGTGGTGGTACTAATTTACATTCCCACTAACACTATACAAGGGTTCCCTTTTCTCTACATCCTTTCTAGCATTTGTTATTGCCTGTCTTTTGGATAAAAGCCATTTTAACTTGGATGAGATAGTATCTAATTGTAGTTTTCACTTGCATTTCTCCAATTTAGTGCACTTTTTCATATACCTGTTTGCCATTTTCAAGTCTCCTTTTGAGTGAGAAATGTCTATTCAGATCTTTTGCCCATTATTTGATCAGATTATTAGACTTCTTTCATATAGAGTTGTTTAAGCTCCTTGTATGTTCTGATTATTAGACCCTTGTCAGATGGATAGTTTGCAAATATTTTCTCCTATTCTGTGGGTTGTCTCTTTACTATGTTGATTATTTCCTTTACTGTGCAGAAGCTTTTTAACTTGATACGATGCCACTTGTCCATTTTTGCTTTGGTTGCCTGTGCTTGAGAGGTATTACTCAAGAAATCTTTACCGAGTTCAATGTCCTGGAGAGTTTCTACAATGTTTTCTTTTAATAGTTTCTTAGTTTGAGGTTTTAGATTCAAGTCTTTAATCCATTTTTATTTGATTCTTGTATGTGGCAAGAGACAGCAATCTAGTTTCATTCTTCTGCATATGGATATCCAGTTCTCCCCGCACCATTAATTGAAGAGACTGTCCTTTCTCCAGTGTATGTTCTTTAGTACCTTTGTTGAAAATGAGTTCACTGTAGATGTATGGGTTTGTTTCTGGGTTCTCTATTTTGTTCCATTGGTCTATGTGTGTGCTTTTATGCCAGTACTGTGCTGTTTTGTTTACTGTGGGTCTACAGCATAATTTGAGGTCAGATAATGTGATTCCTCCAGTTTTGTTCCTTTTTCTCAAGACAGCTTTGGATATTCTGGGTCTTTTCTGGTTCTACTTACATTTTAAAATTGTTTTTTTCTATTTCTGTGAAGAATCTAATTGGAATTTTGATGGAGATTGCATTGAATCTGTAGATTGCTTTGGTTAATATGGACATTTTAACAATATTGATTCTTCCAATCCATTAACATGGAATATTTTTGCTTTTTTTGTGTCTTCTTGAACTTCTTTCAATGTTTTATCATTTTTATTGTAGAGATCTTTTACTTCTTTGGTTAATTACTACATATTTAATTTTATGTAGCTATTGTAGATGGGATTATTTTCTTGATTTCTAAGATTGTTCACTGTTGGGATACAATAATGTTACTGATTTCTGTACGCTGATTTCATATTCTGCAACTATACTAAATTTGTTTATCAGTTCTAATAGTTTTTTGCTGGAGTCTTTAGGTTTTTGCAAACATAAGATCATATTACCTGCAAACAAAGATAATTTGACTTCTTCCATTCAAATTTAGATGGCCTGTATTTCTTTCCCTTGTCTGACTGCTCTACCTAGGACTTCCAGTACTATGTTGAATAAAAGTGTTGAAAGTGGATATCCTTGTCATGGTCCAGATCTTAGAGGAAAGGCTTGGAAGTCCCCATTCAGTTTGATACTAGCTGTGGGTCTGTCATACATGGCTTTTATTGTGTTATGTTCCTTCTATCCTGTTTTTGAGGGGTTTTATCATGAATTAACATTGAAATTTATCAAATGCTTTTTCAGCACAATTGAAATAATCGTATATGGTTATTGCCCCTCATTCTCTTCATATGATGTATCACATCAATTGATTTGCATATGTTGAACCATCCTTGCATCTCTGGGATAAATCCCACTTGGTCATGATGAATGATCTTTGTCATGTGTGGTTGAATTTGGTTTGCTAGTATTTTGTTGAGGATTTTTACATCAATTTTCATCAGGGATATTGGTCTGTAGTTGTTTTGGTTTGTGTGTGTGTGTGTGTGTGTGTGTGTGTGTGTGTGTGTGTGTTGTTTGCTTGTTTGTTTGTTTTGGGTGTGTCTTTGACTGGTTTTGGTATCAAGGTAATATTGGCTTCATAGAACGCGTTTGAATGTATTCCCTCTTCCCCTGTGTTTCAGAATAGTGTGAATAGGATTTGGTATTAGTTCTTTAAAGTTTGGTAAAATTCAGCAGTGAAGCCATTGGGTCCTGGGATTTTCTTTGCTGGAAGACTTTTTCTTATGGCTTCACTCTCGTTACTTATTATTGGTTCGTTCAAGTTGTGGATTTCTTCATGGCTCAACCTTGGTAGGTTGTAGGTGTCTAGGAATTAATCCATTTCTTCTAGGTTTTCCAATTTTTTGGCATATAGTTGCTCATAGTAGCCTCTAATTATCCTGTTAATTTCAGTTGTAACATCTCCTTTTTCATCTCTGATTTATTTGGGATTTCTCTGTTATCTTAGTCTGGCTAAAGGTTTTTTGGTTTTATCTTTTCAAAAAACCAAGTTTTCATATTATTGGTTTTTTGTATTGTTTTCTTTGTTTCAATTTTACTTATTTCTGCTCTGACCTTTAGTATTTTTTTCTTCTACTAATTTTACATTTGGTTTGCTCTTGCTTTTCCAGTTCTTTAAGATGCATCACTAGGTTGTTTATTTCAAGTTTTTCTACTTTTTTGATGTAGGAATTTATAGCAATAAACTTTCCTCTTAGTACTGATTTTGCTGTATCCTATAGGGTTTAGTATATTTTGTTTCCATTGTCATTTCTTTTGAGAAATTTTTAAATTTCCTTCTTAATTTCTCCATTGACTCACTGGTCATTCAGGAGCATATAGTTTAATTTCCATATGTTTAAATAGTTTCCAAAATTCCTCTTACTATTGATGTCTAGTTTTATTCCACTGTGATCAGAGAAGATGCTTGATATTATTCCATTTTTTAACTTTTATTTTAAGCACTATTCACAATAGCAGAGATGTGGAATCAATCCAGGCTTTTTTATTTTGTAAGATATGTTTTGTGCCCTAACATATGGTCTATCCTTGAGAATGATGCATGTGCTGAAGAGAAGGTGTATTCTGCAGCTCTTGGATAACATGTTCTGTAAATATCTATTAGGACCACTTGGTCTATAGTGCAAAATAAGTCCAATGTTTCTTTACTGATTTTCTGTCTATATGATCTGTCCAATGCTGAAGGTGGGGTGTTGAAGTCTCCAGCTATTATTGCACTGGGGTGCCTCTCTTTAGATCCAGTAATATTTGCTTTATATATCTAGGTGCTCCAGTGTTGGGTGAATATATATTTAAAATTGTTACATCCTCTTGCTGACTTGACCCCTTTATCATTCTATAAAGACCTTCTCTGTCTCATTTTATAGTTTTTGTCTTGAAATTTATTTTATGTGACATAAGTATAGCTATTCCTGCTTTTCTTACTTTCCATTTGCATGAAATATCTCTTTCCATCCCTTTATTTTCAGTCTACACATGTCTTTATAGCTGAAGTGTGATTCTTGTGAGCAACAGATCGTTGGGTCTTGTGTTTTGAACCCATTTATCCACTCTCTATCCTTTGACTGGAGAGTTTGGTACATTTACATTCAATGTTATTATTGATAAGTAAGAACTTAACAAGTCCTTATCAATAATAAGAACTTAATAATAATAAATCCTTGCCATTTTGTTGTTTTCTATTCCTTTTTTCTTGTCTTTCTTTTAGTAAAGGTGATTTTGTGGTTTTCTCTTTCTTCTTTCCTTTCTTCTTGTCTTCCTTTTAATAAAGGTGATTTTCTGTGATACTATGCTTTAATTTCTTTCTTGTGTGTCTGTTGTACATTTTTTTAAATTTGAGGTTACCATAAGGCTTGCAAGTAGTATCTTATAATCCATTATTTTAAACTGATGACACCTTAACACTGATTGTATAAACAAAAAAGCAAAGAGAAAACTAATAAAAACTCTGCACTTTAATATCATCCCCCCCCCTCACTTTTTAACTTTTTATTGTTTCTATTTATATCATATAGTACTGGCTATGTCTTAAAAAGTTATCATTTTTGTTCAGTTCATTGGTTCATCTTTCTACTCAAGATATGAGTAGTTTACAAACCACAATTATGGTGTTATAATATTGTATGCTTTTCTATGTATTTACATTAACAGTGAGTTTTGTGCCTCCAGATGATTTATTGCTTATTAACATTCTTTACTTTTGGATTGAAGGACTCCCTTTAGCACTTCTTGTGGGACAGGTCTGGTGTTGAAATCCCTCAGCTTTTGTTTGTCTGGAAAAGTCTTTATTTCTTCTTTGTTTTTGAAGGATATTTTCACTGAATACACTATTCTGGGAGAAAGGTGTTTTGCCTTCAGCACGTTAAATAACATCATTCCACCCTTTCCTGGCCTGTAAAGTTTCCACTGAGAAGTCTACTGCCAGACATTATGGAGCTCCAATTTATGTTATTTCTTTTCTCTTGTTGCTTTTAGAATGTTTTCATAATCAAACTCCCAAATATCAAGGATAATTAAATGTCTTGAGGTAGTTTTATTTGGGTTAAATCTGCTTGGTGTTCTATGACTTCCTTATACTTGAATACTGATATCTTATTCTAGGTTTGAGAGGTTCTCTGTTACTATCACTTTAAATAAACTTTCTACCCCTGCTCTCTCACTACCTCCCCTTTAAGGCCAATGATTCTTAGATTTGCCTTTTTGAAGCTGTTTTCTAGATCTTTCAGGCATGCTTCACTCTTTTTCATTTTTTTTATTTTGTCACCTCTGACTGTCTTTTCAAAAAGCCTGTTTTCAAGCTACTAATTCTTTCTTCTGCTGGGTCAACTCTTCTATTATGAGATTCTGGTGCATTCTTCAGCACGTCAATTGCATTTTTCAACTCCAGAATTTATGCCTGATTATTTTTTAGTCATTTCAATCTCTTTGTTAAATTTACCTGATAGGATTCTGAATTCCTTCTCTGTATTACCTTGAATTTTATTGGTTTCCTTCCTCAAAACAGATATTTTGAATTCTCTGTCTAAAAGATCACATATCTCTGTCTCTCCAGGACTGGTCACTGGTGCCTTATTTAGTTCAACTGGTGAGGTCATGTTTTCCTGGGTGGCTTTCATGCTTGAGGATATTTGTTAGTGTCTGGGCATTGAAGAGTTAGGTATTTATTATAGTCTTTGCAGTTTGGTTTTATTTGTACCTGTCCTTCTTAGGAAGGCTTTCCAAGTATTCAAAGGGACTTGGGTATTTGATGTAAGTTTTTGATCACTGCCGCACATTTGCATGAGCTGTCACCCCAAGTCCAGTAACACTGTGGCTCTTGCAGACTCATAGAAGTAGTGCCTTGGTGGACTTGGATAAAATCTGGAAAAATTATCTGAATTACCAGACAGACTCTTACTCTCTTCCCTTAGTTTCTCCCAAACAAATAGAGTTTCACCCTCTCTGTGCTGAGCTGCCTGGAGCTGGGGCAGGGTGACACAGCACCCCTGTGGTCACCACCACTGGAACTGTACTGGGTCATACCTGAAGTCAGCACAGCACTGGGTCTCATTCAGGCCCGTGGTAACCACTGCCTGACTACCATCTTTGTTCACTCAGGGCCGTAGGGCTCTACAATCAGCAAGTGGTGAAGCCAGTCTGGCTTGCCTTCTTCCTTTCAGGGCAACAATTTCATCTGGAAGCCCAGGCCTAGAGTCGGAAACTTTAGGAATCTACCTAGTGCTGTATTCTACTGCAGCTAAGCTCACACCCAAGTCACAAGACAAAGTACTTCCCACTCTTCTCTCTCTTTTCCACAAGCAGAGAAGTGTCTTCCCATGGCCACCACCACCCCAGGCCCACAGTGAGCACTTCCTGGCTATCACTGATGTTCATTCAATGCCCAAGAGCTCCTCAGTCAGCTTGTGATGAATGTTGTCAGGCCTGGAACACTCCCTTCAGGGCAGTGGGCTCCCCTCTGGCCCAGGGCAGGTCCAGAAATGCCATCCAAGAGCCCACTTAATGGTCTACCCCACTGTGGCCAAGCTGGTACTTAAGCTGCAAGACAAAGTCCCCTTTACTCTTCCCTCTCCTTTTTTCCAAGTGGAAGGATTCCCTCCCCATAGCTACCACAGCTAGAAATATGCTTGGTCACACTTGAAGCTAACACATCTCAGAGTCTCACTCAAGGCTCATGATGAATGCAGCCTGGATACCACTGCTGATTATTCAGGGACCAAGGGCTCTTTAGTCAGCAGGTGATGAATCCTGCTAGGACTGGGTCCTTCTCTTCAAGGCAGCAGGTTACCTTCTAGCCCAGGGTATGTCTAGAGATGTTTAGGAGCTAGGGCTTGGAATAGGGGCCCAAGGACTCTGCCTGATACCCTATATACTGTGGCTAAGCAGGTACACAAGTTGCAAGCCAAAGTTCTCTTTACTTTTCCCTCTCTTCTCTTCAAACAGAAGAAAGGATTCCCTCCTGAAGCTGTGAGCTGTGCTGCCTGAGGTTGGGGAAAAGGTGATGCAAGCCACCCTGGCTGGTGCCTCATTAGGTCACATGGCCCCCAAATCCACAGGTTCCAAGCCCAGCATGGCTCTAGGACTTGCCCAGGAATTGCAGTCTTTGTGGCCTAGACTGCTTTTCAAGTTTATTTTGGACCCCAGAGCCCTTTAGCCCACAGTGGTAGGGCTTGCTGGAACTCAGGTTCCAACCGCTGAGATAAATGTTGTCCCGCTAGCTAGGGCTAGTATAAACGCTCTTCCATGGTCTCTGGCTGAGTTCTGCTCAGTGCTGCTTTCCATTGTTACAGCACTAAGTTCCAATGCAAAGTCCTGCAATTGCTTTGTTCTCCCTCCCTCAAGTGCAGTTTCTCTGCTCCATGCAGCCACTGCTGGAGGATGAGGGAGGGGTGGTGTCAACAATTCAATACTGTCTTTTCTACCCTCTTCAGTGTCGCTTTCAGTAATACGAAGTTAAAACCAGGTACTCTGATCCCTCACCTGATTCTTGGTTCTCATGCTTTTTTGTGTAGACAGTTGTTAAGTCTGGTGTTCCTGCAGGAAAGATGATCAGTGGTGGCTTCTATCTGGTCATCTTGTTCTGCCTCCCCTCCTCCAATACACACATATCATATATACTTTTGATGATATGCCAGAAAACACTTGATAAGACTCAAAGGTAAATGAGCCAATCACTACAAATAGTTTCACAGAGTCTTAAGCAATTACAAGGGTAAGGCATAGAGTAGAGTCTTAGTTCTATTTTAACTCAGTCTAATGTGGCTACTTCTGAGTATTTAGAAAGGAAATGTCCTACTTAAGCTGTTACTGTCCTAGTTGTTTTATATGTTCTTATAATTTGGAGTATGCAAGTTATTAAATTGCCTTGAGCTTAGCAGAGTTGTAAAGCATCTGATAATCCCTGAGGTTTAAAAGCAATAAGGAGGACACTCAGGCATTTTTTTCCCCTTAGCTTAGGGAATCCAAAACCTTGTTCATCAAATGAATTAAGAATATAAAGAATAAAGAATGACTAAAAATAATGTCAAAGACGTAGCGGATGTCAAACCAACACAGTCAACTGCCTTACTGTAAGAATTAAGTACCTCTACTTGGTGGAATATAGATATATTCTGACCTGTGGAGCAGTAGTCTCTTGAGAAATAACTGCTAAAAGCTTATCGTTTAGCTAACAAATAAGATGTACTATGTATGTTCTTACTAGAAAAAGCTTTAGGTTAACTAGAATCTCAAAGTCAAATATGAAGCTTCTGAAGCTTATTAATGCCTAAAATGGGATCTATTTAAACGTACAATTAAATCAAAGGAGAGTTTAAAGAAAATCAACAGAGTTCATAATAAAATATATCTGCAGTTCTTATGGTTTCCAAGACAAAAACAGCTTCAGCAATTCCATGGTGTGAGTTTGGAAGCAGGTCTTTAGCTTTTGTCATCTTTCCCGCTGTTCTTCAGCTGTCAGATTGAATCTACCCATAGGCAGGATATATCCATCCCAGTCAATTTGTGAAACACAGGTAATAAAAAAAACATTATTAATAAAACTATATTAAGTGCAGTGAACATATTATTATAAGTGAATCTTAGATGACATTTAGTAATTATTGATGAAATCTATTATAATAGAAACAATTCCTCATACTATTTTCTGGGCACATAAGACTAGTTATTTAGTATTCTTGTACCTGTTTCTATATGGGGTCATGTGACTGAATGTTGGCTAATAGAACATGGGGAGCTGGGAATTACATGGGAATTATATTACTCCTATACTTGACCCCCAGGATACAGTTACGAATTCCAAGGAGACTCTAGGACATGGATCCACAAGATAGAATTCTAGATTCCTGAGTCACCACTGGAAGGAAAAACATCCAGGTGAGTCTTCTGACTTTCTATTACACGTAGCTATTAATGTTCCAACAGGTTTTCACAATTCTCAATCTCTAACCAAAATGAGGAGAGAATGTGCTATTAGGACACTAAAGATAAAATTTAACATTCATTGAGCACTAAATATATGCCAGGCACTTCCTAAGTGCTCCTAAACATTATCTCATACATTTCTCATAAGACCTTGAGCTTTATAATCTCTATGAGGAAGCTGAAGCTAGGAGAAATGCAATAAAGTTCCAAGGTTATACAGCAAGAAGAGGCAGAGCTTGATTGAAACTTGAAAGTTTCTCTACAGAGCTCACATGACAACAGTGCATGGGATTCCTATTCAGTACATCCCAGGAACTATGCTAGCCAATTTGGATCCAGAGAATAAATAGAGTGTCCGACTTTTAGCAACTTACAGCCAAGTGGGAAAATGATTGATATTTCAAGGACTCAATGAACTACGCTAATGAAAAACTAAAACAATACAAGTGGAATAAAAAGAATTTCCAGGAAATCTGGTACTTCATGGGGACATTGTCACTATTCTCCAATTGACTGAATGGAACCAACTCATAGGCATCATCCTGAGACCTTCCCCAACCTGAAACCCTTGAGGAACTGAAAAATTGAATCCTCTAACACCATTTCCCATACTGTGGCTCCTTGAAGGACTATTAAACCTTCTAAGCAGGCTGGAGTTTAGTTATATGTTAAATCACTTTTTTTTTTAAGAAAAACGTAGGATTCTGTAATTTACTTGTTTACAACATATAATAAAAATGACAGTAGTAATTAACATTTCTTAAGCACTTATGTTCCAAAGTTCTAATCTTTTTATAGATATTCTTTCATTTAATCCTTATAATAATCCCATAAGACAGGTATTATTATTATCTGGCTTTCCAGATGAGGAGACAAAACATTGAGAGACAAGGAGGTTAAATAACTTCCTAAGGTCATATAGCTCACAAGTGGTACAGCCAGTACATACAAACTTAGCTTTATCTTAAAATAGTTGCTTAGTCTGAAAATATTTTCTAAAATTTTTGTTGAAGCAAAACATACATAACATAAAATTTACCATCCTAACCATTTTTAAGTGTACATTTCAGTGGCATTAAATATTAATACATTCACATTGTTAGGCAACTATTACTACCATCCATCTCCAGAACTTTTTCATCTTCCCAAATTGAAACTCGGAATTCATTAAACAATAATTCCCTATTTTCCCTTTTCCGTAGCCCACCACCATTACACCTTGTCTTTATAACTTTGACCACTCTAGGTAAGTCACTTCTCGATTGATTGATGCCTACCCATTGAGTGGACTGCTGCTCATTTCAGGTAAGCAAATGCTATCTTTGTCAGCCTCAAGCTGTGTTTTTCCCAGTGCTTCTGGGGTTTTTTTCCCCCACCTTATTTGCTGCTTCTTTTGCTAAGCACACCATCCTGTAGTTTTACTTGGTGCCTTACTACTGGATCTTCTTTCCTAGTCAATCAAGCCACAGCCAATTTTGGTGAGCTACCTTTGATGCATGAAGGATAACTGCCCAAGGGCTTGACACTAATATCCTGTTCAAACAGTATCAAATAAACCAAAAAATTAATCCATTTAATAAATATTTACTGAATGCTGACTACTTCCCAGGCATTATGCTAGACAGCTGCAGGAATATAAAGGGGAGCAAAAACAAATGCACTCCCAGGCACCATAAAGCATACAGTTTAGCACTAGACAGGCACTAATCAATTAACTCTAATAGATGTAAACCGAAATTGTGCCAAGTGCTATGAAGCAGTACAAGATACCTCAAAAGCACAAGATATATGGTACAACAGGATACTAAGGATAGGATAGAAATGACAAAGGGTGAGTGGATGTTTCTTAGGTAGAGATTGGTAGGGAAAAGCATTTTATACTGAGAGCCCAACTTGTGCAACAGCTATGTGGCTAGATGGAGCATTGTAAACATAAGGGACTTAAAGAACATAAATAGTAAGGGAAAGCCTGGGTCAATATAAAGCTGGAAAGATAAGCAAAGACCAGATCATCTAGAGTTATAGTTCTGTTGAAGTCACAGGGAGTTTTGAGACAAGTAATTACAGAAATACCACCAATAAGATCATGTGACCCTCAAATAACTACAGAAATCTACCTAAAATGAGGTTATCATTATTATTTGAGGGATCTTCCCAGAAGCACAACTGACTTGTTATTTATGCACAATCTGTGGGCAGTTTTCTCTGCAAGAACCATCTAATGAGAAAGGTGGTCTGAAATTTGTTCCTGACTTTAGTTGAAGTCATCAATGACACAGCCTAGGTAGGTCCTGGAAATTATTCAGCTCTGCCTCAGCTCAGTATCCAAGGTTGCTATGGATGATAGCAGTGTCCCAGACTTACTCATTTCAGTATTAATGCATCCTGATGTGGCTGAATTAATGCCTTAAATCAAATGGAAAGGTTCATGCAGAAACTCAAGAAGAAAGCCATTAGGTTTTCTAAGATAAACCCAGATGTTTTGTGGAATTGGTTTGATTAGCTAGGCCTGGGGTCCTGGAGGGTATGGTAGGGACCCTGGAAATCCTATTTCAAGTGAGAACCACTTGAAATCCTATTAATATTCACCTTAAATACCGTATGAGACAAATGACACAGATTTGGGCCAGCTTCTGCCAGCCAGATTAAATAGAATGGCCAAGGGAATGGCATACTCATGTGAAAATTCAAAAAACTAAGATAGTATAGAAATAAGGGGTGGATATAATTTGGAGGCAATTTTCCACTGGTCCTTCACATTTATGCCTGTCTTACAAGCAGAAGCACTAACAGGCTTTGCCCTGGACCATCTTTTCAAGAATGTTTGGTAGAAAATAGCCTTGGAAGATAGAAAGAGTACTCCCTCTCTCTGAAGCAAAGGGCAGATTTGTTTACTGTCCAGTATAATAAAGATAATGTTTCTGTCCAAGGCAAAGGTCAGGCAGGTTTGCTTAGAGTACATCATAAAAGATTCCCTTTCCTTAATTTGGCTGAGGCTCCTTTTCTATAATGCAAGCCACTGCATGCACAGGTATCATTTGGCCTTCTTTGCATTGTGTTGGGAATAGGGGTTCAGAAAACTAGTGAGGATGCTAAACTGCTACTGCTACTGCTATTGTTTTGAGTGAAAAAAAAAAATCCTTTGTATCTGAGTCAGAAGTCTTTCTTTTGCCAAATATGTGATGGGCTAACTGACTAGCTTACAAGTAGGGTAAAATATCAGACTTGTCACATCTCTTGGCATTCATAATCCTCTAGGGTAGATATTACAATGTCTACTTTTCAGATGAAGAAACTGAGGTTTTGTCACATAAATTATGGTATCAAATTATTCATTTACTTTTTTGTTCAATCAAGCTATGTCTAAATGTTAGGAGTCCAGGTATGAATGATGTATGGAGAATCTATGCCCCTGGCTTGATCTTAAATACTCTTGTCCAGAAAGTCATCTTTAAATGAGCAATGCTTATTTTTTTCTTAAAGATAATTGGGCCGGGCATGGTGGCTCACGCCTGTAATCCCAGTACTTTGGGAGGCTGAGGTGGGTAGATCTTCTCAGCTCAGGAGTTCAGGACCAGCCTGGCCAACATGGTAAAACCCCATCTCTACTAAAAATACTAAAATTAGCCAGGTGTGGTGGTGCACTCCTGTAATCCCAGCTACTTGGTAGGCTGAGGCAGGAGAATCACTTGAACCCAGGAGGCAGAGGTTGCACAGTAAGCCGAGTGCCATTGCACTCCAGCCTGAGCAGCAAGAGTGAAACTCAGTCTCCCAAAAAAAAAAAAAAAAAAAAAGTGCTGGAACCCAGATCAAACCATACCTAAAGGGAACATACAGCTGGAATTTTGGTTGCATAATTTAAAAAATACCCTTAAGTAAGCCAACTAGCAGTGTATCTTCTGAACCTTGCAACTGTCAGGTTGCTGATTAATACAGTCCACCTAATTTTAGAACCCATCTTCATAACCCCTAACACTATATTATACTATACTATACTATACTATACTATACTATACTATACTATACTATACTTCATAACCCCTAACACTTATAGATGTTAAAAAAGCTAAAAAGCTATAATTTGTGAAACACTTAATCAAGAAATAGGATTTTTAAATACTGGCAAATAACTGTCCAAAAGTTTTTACATGTTACAGAAGAAATAGTCTTCCCTTGTCCAGAGCTGTTGGCATGAAAGTGCTTCAAAGCTCATACACATAAATAACTACTAAGAGCAAAGAAAGGGAAACTAAAATCATTGAAAGCTAACTAAAGCATTTGGCAAAGACATAAACAATATTTTACCTACTAATATGCTTATCAGACATCAAGAGATAGATGACAGACTCCTGTAGTCAGAAACTCAGAGTTAACTTCAACTGAGAAGAGCATAGTATGTTTGAAGAATTTCAAGTAGTGGAATGTTTATGCAGAATATAGTAGTGGGAAATTAATCTGGAGAGGCAGGTACGTAGGGGTCAGAGCATAAAGGGCACAGTGATTTGATGTGTAGGCTAATCTGTTTCATTATTATCCAGCAAGTCAGATGTTTAAATCTGGGAAACATAGACCACATATGTGGAATACGAACATTCTGAGACTATGATTATATGGCATGTGTGTTTGCAGGGTAATACATACTGGGAAAGGATTTTTATAAACATCTGTAAATTCTTAAAAAGGTTCATGAATGAAGAAAGGTTATGAAATCTAATGGGAGCATGTATAGGAGAATTTCCCTCAAGGGATGCTTGGAAGAGATGAGTCTGTCTCCTGGACTGTATATGGATTAGGCAGACAGTACATGATACTGAAGAAAAGAAAATCAGGTAAGAGACTATGAGAAGTACCATAAAAATGACATAAACAGCACTCCCATCAAATTGAGAAGCTCAACAAAAGAGTCCATACTGGGTAAATCCAATGGGCAACAATATCCTTGCTATAATAATGTATAACCATAATAGGCCTAAGAATATGTATGCATTTTAATAACCAGGGATACACTTAAGAATAGCATTACATACACAGCTAGTTTGCTGACAAATCTCTGAATTAACGTCAATTAGTATTAAATCTAAGATTGGTTTTATTTTACATTTTAATAAATGTCTTTCAGTTTGCAGATGATACCAGGTATTTCTGGCTAGTATAATATCAGTCTCAGAAATAAACTGTACAAAGATCACATAAAGCTATGTGAGTGGGCAGAAATATGAGCAAATATTCTTAGCTGAAATAATCCAAACTATATTTGTATGATAGTCATTTAGAATGTAAGAAGAAAAATATTATGCAAAAGAGCAATATACCAATGAAAAGATGCTCAACATTACTAACAGTAAGAAAAACATAAAACCTTTTACACCTAAAAAGAGTAAAAAGATTAGTCTTCAAATACCAAATGTTGACAAGGAAGTTGACCAATTCTTGCACTGCTAGTGGAGAAAATCTTGGTAAACAACTTTGGAGAACAACATGTTAACATCCAGTGAAGCTGAAGATATTTAGACCCATGATAGGCAGAATAAATGCCTCTCAAAGCTGTCCATGTCCTAGTCCCTAAAACTTATGTGCAAATTGCATTAGCTGACAAAAGGGATTTTGCAGATTTGATTAAGAATCTGAGATGAAAAGAATATCTAGGTGGGCCCAACATAATCACAAGGGTCCTCATTAGAGCCAGGAGTAGGAAGGCCAGAGTCAAAGAGAAATTTGAGACATGATGCAGTTGGCTTTGAAAATGGAGGAGGGACTGCAAGCCAAGGAATGCCTCTAGAAGCTGAAAGCAGCAAAGGAACAATTCTTTACAGACTCGGAAAGGAACACAGCTCTTCCCATACCTTGACTTTAGCCCAGTGACACCAATTTTAGACTTCTGACCTCCAAAATTGTAAGACAGTATATCTGTGTTCTTTTAAGCCACTGAGTTTGTGGTCATTTATTATGGCAGCAATAGAAAACTAATACACTACCCTTTACCTGGAAATTTCATTCTCAGAGATATGGATCTACAGAAAAATCTTGCACATATACACAAGCAAACTTATTCAGAAATGCTTAGTGCAGCATTTTTATAAAAGCATAAAACTAGGAACTTCCTAAATGTTCATCATCAGGAAAAAGCACACTGAGATATGATCATATAAGAGAGCAGTCTGCAACAGGGAAAATGGGTAGAGCTACATGTAATAACATGGATATAGCTCTAAAACATAACATTTAGCAAAAAAAAATTAGTTTAGCTTTTAAATTAGAATTAAAAACATTAATTATATATATTGCATGTCTGCGTAATATATTTATATACAGAAATAAAATAATATATGCATAAGAATGATTAAAAAACCAAATTCAGCATATGATTATTTCTGAGAACAAGAGGGCATCCTGGTGCGAAGAAAATTTGAAGCAAATATCACAAAATAATGAGATTTGATAAAGTTAGGTGATAAGTGTGTAGTTGTTTACCATTCTACTTCCTTTAATCATTGATGATTCCAGTACTTTCAGATCCAATATTCTACATCAATCTCTCCATCAGAACTACCACCCCTTAAGCTAGTTAAATGTTGCTGGAAATATATCAGACACAATGCTCTGCTTTCTCATATAAGTATCAGAATCTACATACAAAATCCTTATAAAGCCCCCAATACTCAGGTGCTATAGCGTAAAGAAAATAGTTGACATGAAAGTTAAAGAGATCTTATAAAAAGGGTATAAGGCAGGTCTTCTCAAATTTTTGGTCTTAGAATTCCCGTGAACCCTCAAAAACTGAGGACCACAGTGATCTATATGTGTCATATCTATCAACACATATTAAGACTTAAAACAAAAACACACTTTTTAAATATTTGATAGTTCATTTAAAATAACATTACCATAGCCATTACATCTTAGAACACAAGTACCTATGTTCTAACATGTAACATTTAAACATTTTTAAAACCATAAATAATTCGTGAGAAGAGTGGCATTGTTCTGCATCTTTGTAAATTTCCTTACTGTCTGGCTTCATAAAAGCCAGCTGGATTCTGCTGAAATGTATTGTTTTGGTTGAAGGATAATAAAGATAATCTGGCCTCACATAGATTCATAGACCTTACAGACCTGAGAAAGATTGTGGAGATCTCCAAGGATCCTCAGACCAAATGGTAAGAACTGCTGATATAGGCAATATTCTTTGTTCTCAAAACCTGAGGAAGAATCTGATCAAATGTAAAATCTATTACATGAAAACAGGCTAAAATTATTTGGTAATTTCAAGATTAATGAAATTATGGAATGCCAGAATCATAATTTTCACCCACCCCAAACACACTCATCATGGAGCTTAAAAGATATGTTTTTTTTTGGACAAAAACATGTGATAAACATTAAAAAAGGTAAATAAATATTTTAAAAGAAATTAGATAATTTTGATTCCAATAATTTTTAAATATTAGTAGGTAATAAAAATCATGCTGGCTAAAGAATATAAAGAAATTTCCATTCCTGTAAGTTTTCCCCTCCCAAAGAAGTGAAAATGTACTGCATAAGTAGAAAGAAATTTATATCTCCTTTTACTATTTACCGCCTCTGAAAGAGAAAAATTGAGAAAAGGAAAATCATGAAGTTCTATAACTGAATTGCAAATGATTTGGTATTCTGATCAAATTGAATTGGACATATTTTAGGCAAGAAACATTTACCACAGTATGAATATCTTAATTCATATGTGTCCTTGGTATCTAAATAAAAGTATTTCAGAGCAGAAATCAATCAATAAGAATATATAAAAAACATAACACCACCACAGCACCACCACTACCACCACCCCTTTACTCCCAGGGGAATAAAGGAAGAATCATAATAATAATCATGGTAAACCACAAATAAGGAACAGCTACAAGTTCACAGCTCATCTTCATCCCCTGAGCATACACCTCTGGGTGGGAAAGCAACACTCTCTGGGCCAGATCTGAATAACTTCTTATAGAAATTTAAGTGCCTGAATTATGTTATGCTAACATAACTAACCTGGAGTTTATCTGACAAAGTTCCAGAAGGTATAGGAGTGGGAGCAGGGAATTTTCTCAACAGCCCCTTATTCTGGGAGATAGTTAACTCAATGTCAATACACTCGTAATTCCTCCAACGTATGAGATTTTTGGTTTAAATATTAAAAGCATAATATTGCCAGAAAATAAATGCTGTTACTTTTGTTCAAATTAACCACTTTTAAGTCAAATATAGGTATATTTTTTAAGTATTTTCTTTATCTTTCTAAAAACCAAATGAAGAAATTAACCAGATGAAGTGTTAACAGTAGCTAAATTCGAGATAAAACAGTAAGTTAAAGCATTATTTTTACTCTCACCAAATTAAACAAATTAGTAAACTAGCAAGGCTGCTAGATATACACAATAAATTTTCCCTCTACAGTTTGTATCTTACATGGGAGAAGTCCAGTGTATCTTATGGAAATCCACCGCAATTAGCATAATCTTCCAACTTTCAGATTTGTGTGTTGCTAACGCCTCTGTAAATTTAAACTCTGGAAAAATGCCCAGAATTTTTTGTTAACTGAAAACCAGACACATCCCTGAAAGATATCTCCCCCTTCCATAGTTAATGCACGTTTTGCTTCTCAATAGTTTTGGCAACAAATTTTAGAGTTTGCAATTCTATGGTTGGGCTCTGTGACATTGGTTCTCAAAGTGACGTGTGTTATTAGCATAACGGGTGGGCAATTTTCACAAGTACTTTGAACAAAACACAGTCAAATATGATTCATTTAAATTTCAAATAATTATTTGATACCTAGCACCTTAAAGAAGGAAAGAAGATTATAAAACCATATGCTACATCTTGGAATGCAGGATGCTAGCACTTGGGAAGCTATCATTATCCAAGACAACTGAAATCAGATCATTTCAGAACTAAAACTTTTTCAGGCTGGGCTTGATGGCTCATGCCTGTAATCCCAACACTTTGGCTGGTCAAGGCAGGTGGATCCCTTAAGGTCAGGAGTTCAAAACCAGCCTGGCCAACATGGCAAAACCTCATCTCTACTAAAAATACAACAAAATTAGCTGGGCATGGTAGTGGATACCTGTAATCCCAGCTACTCAGGAGGGTGAAGCAGGAGAATCACTTGAACCTGGGAGGTAGAGGTTGCAGTGAGCTGAGATCATGCCACTGCACTCCAGCCTGGGTGACAGAGTGAGACTCTGTCTAAAAAGCAACAACAACAACAAAAACCTAAAATTTTTTCAGATCTTAAAAAGGTAGTAGGGTACAAATACCACATATTGCACAACTCTGAGGAGTTAGCACATCATGCTATAATTAGACACTTCATACTCCTCAAGTGAAACACACAACGCTCATTAACTGAAGTAAGGACTATAAATTACCTCATGTCAGTTTGGGTTTAGTATTATAGCTAAATGAGACATAAAAACGTTTCTGTTACCAGTCAACAATCACTTGAGTTGCATGTGAGTACTGCAGAAATCAGAAGCAAAGAAAAGTGTGTAGATAATAGAAAATGAAAAGGTTTGAGAAAAAGTAAAATGATATAAGGAAGGGAAGATGAAAGGATAGAGACAGCGAAGGAAAGAAAGTAGAGATAGGTTCAAGCTTTCATAGTGTAAACATCCAGAAGACTTGTAGGATTTCATGATCCAACATATCCAATGAGCAAATAAAGATCAGTGACAAATAAATGGCTATTGCAGGAGACTAAAGAGAATTTATGCTAGTTTTTTAGTTTGTTTTTATTGCCAATCTAAGAGATGGAATGGCAATTGAGAGATGCATATGCCCTACTCCTTGGAAACTATCAATATGTCACATGGCCAAGGGAACTTTCAAGTTAAAACCCTTAAAATAGGGACATAATTCCAGATTACCCAAATGGACCAAATCTACTCACAGAAGCCCTTGAAAGCAGAGAACTTTCTCAGGCTGGAATCAGAGAGTTGTGGCAAAACAAACAAACAAACACAGGTGAAGTGATTTGGCATGTGAGAAGGACTTACCCCAGTGTTGCTGAGGGTAGAGGGTGAAGACACACGGAAAGCCTGTGAAAGAAGGCAGACAGGCACCAGCAGAATGACTGGCCTAAACTGACAGCCAGCAAAGAAAGAGCAACCTCAGACAGCAAGCAACTGAATTCAGCTGACAGCCAAGAACGAGCTTGGAAACAGACTCATCCCCAGAGTCTCTAGAAAAGAACACAGCCCACCTGACATCCTGATTTCAGCCTTTTGAGATTCTAAGCACATAACCCAGCTGAGCCACGCTAGACCTTGATCTCTACCTGCAGAACTTTGAGGTAATTAAAGCAAGCTGTTTTAAGTCACCTAATTTGTCATAATTTGTTACATCATCAACAGAAAACAAATATAGCCATCCCTGTGAAAAGCGATGTTGGCCAACTCCAGCTGTTGACTGGCCATAGAGAAAGACATTACAAGTATGAGCTCAGACTGATATTACCATCAATAGTAATTAAACCTATAACTGTTTTACACAAACTGGTTTATAAAACTGAATACACGGGAAGAAAATAGTATCTTCTCCCAGTGAAAAACACTGAGAGGGTGTGTCAAAGATAAATCAAGCCAGTATAAGGGCAAAGTGTTTCATTCAAACTGACTTATACTTTGGCAAACATTCAAACATGATTTAGCAAGTGATTAGATAGGGAAGTCTATTATTTATGAAAGATAGGATGTTAAATATGAGATATTGACAATTTGGACTTTATTGTATAACTAAGTTATCAAGTCTCTACAGGCACAAATTGCCTAAAATTTTGTTTTCATTTAATGACTCTTACAAGACACATAAAGGTCTATGTAGACAGAAGTGTTACCTAATAGCTTTAGATCATCTTATCATAGTTTAAACCAAACAGACCAACATAGTTTAAGTATATTGATCTCTCACAAGATTCTAGATTTTAGAACCCAAAACCAAAGTCAATAAAAAAATACATAGTATACACTCTTTTGGCTAGTTTCTTTTCCAAAGAAGGGCCTATAATCATAAATTAAGCAAGATGAAGATAATTCAATAATTGGAAACTGCATTCAAGTTCAAGGTTCAAATACCTCACTTTTCATAGAAATTACCATAAATACTATATTTAACCATTTTCAGTGCTATGTAGCACCAAAGTTTCCAAAGCTTATAGAAGCCAAGGACTTCAGTAACAAAGAACATTAAATATGATTTAATATGATCTGAGTGCTATATAAAGTTCTTCTGTTATTTTTCTCTTCAGAAAGAACTCTTCAGCAATATTTTGAAAAATACCAAAATTACTCCAGGTCTCTTAATAATTTTTAAGACTTCTCCTAGGCAAGTTTACTTTCTTTTTGTGACAAATTTCCTTATAGCAAACTTATATTTTCCAGATCAAGGTGTAGCCTTTTTCAATCCTATTCAAGGTAAAAATAATCTTCTCAAAATTGGCTATGCAATGTATATAAATTTCACTTAAGTTTTCCAAGTAATTGTGGGCCTATAAATTTCTAACTGGTTACATTTGGGTTTTATCTAAACCATTAACTTAAATTTATTGAACTAGAAAATTAGAAAGTAAAAGTAGCAAACAAAATAAAATGTAAACCTAACCAAAAAATTCCAGGTATATATATTGATATGTATATGTTCAGAATATGAGGGACATGTCATGGCCATACTATTAAGAAAAACATCCAACCAGTAGTGTACATTTACATTTAAAGGATATTTTGTAATGACAGATATGTATTTAATAAGAAAGGAAAGTAACGGAAATTCAGAAGTATTCTCATTCTAATAGCTACGTTTAGGTTTAACTCTGCATTATCTCATATTTAATGTTTGGTATTTACAACATATTTCTTCTGAGTTGATGCAGCAAATCAATAAAATGAGGTCACCCACCATACTCCATGCTTTTCTAAGTCATCTTCCAACTGCATTTGTGGTTTCCTTAAGTAATGTTTCAACTAAAAAGGTTTAAAATAGCTTCCTGAATAACAGTCACATTCTTTTCCCTTAAAGACTCTAAGTCCATGCAACAAACTAAAAATAGGTTTACACCCCCTGCCCCGCTCCCCGTTGCAAATGGGCATTGGTCCAGAAGATGAATCTGGCCAGGCTTGAAAGAAAACCACAGAAAACCAAGAATATTAATAAAAGATGATGATCCCCTGGCCCTGGAGCTAATATGAATATGCCTCAGGACATAGATAGTCTCTGCCACATGATTTTGAAAAATAAATTTTTTTGCAGACTGACCTTTTTCCAGGATTGAGTTAGTTTGAAACAATCTATCAGGTTTGATATTTCCTGGCCCTCAAGACAGTTTACAGCTATAGCAAATGTGTGTCTTTGCTTAGAGCAAATGGTAGCCTGTCCCAGATAACTTAAAACCTACAGGTTTTAGACGGGGGGATGTTTGCATCATGTTAATCATATTCTTCCCAGACAGTACATCCAAATAGGTATTGCATAAGCACAGTAATGCATTAATTAATCCTGGGATAGAGTACACCATCAAATGACAATCTGACATTTATCTTTCATTTCTCAGTATTCTATTAAAGCAACAGACACCTTATATTGTTAATGTATGATCTTTCTCACATGAGAATGTCTTACAGAGGAATATGCAAAACAGCAAAGAAGAGAGGGACCAGCTTTTTATTACATGAAACTCAATGGGAGAATGAAACAAGCATTACATAGGTGAAAAGTAAAAGGCTGCAAAAGCAATTAGGAGAGCATTACAAAAGTAGCAGATGTTCCCCTCTAAATTGCATCATGTGTAGCTCATAGACTTGAAATCTCGTGCATCTGAAGGTTAAAAATGGGGCTGGGGGTGTGGAAACTCACTTGTCGAAGCTATTCAGAATTGAAAATAGTCTGATAAATCCAGGATTCTCATGACCCCTGGCAGCATTCACATCTCATCACAGTGATAAATGTCCCATTGATGCTTTGGAGAGCATCGATCACATCAGCACAGACTGCCCTTGCTGTAAACCATCTTGGTGATTTATAGGCTTGGGCGGCCTGACTGTGCCCTTTCAGCTCTGCTGCACGCAACAGGAGGCCTCCCAAGTCATCTAGGTGAAAGAAACTTTCATTTGCTGTTCAATTCCATCTTCCTGGCAGCTGAATTCTCATTATCTCACACACCTAGCAAGGATTTGCCTATAAAATGTGTGTGTGTGTGTGTGTGTGTGTGTGTGTGTGTGTGTGTGAGAGAGAGAGAGAGAGAGAATCTCGCTCTGTCGCCTAGGCTGGAGTGCAGTATCATGTTCTCAGCTCACTGCAACCTCTGCCTCTTGGGTTCAAGCGATTCTCCTGCCTCAGCCTTCTGAGTAGCTGGGACTACAGGCGTGTGCCACTATGACCAGCTAATTTTCGTATTTTTAGTAGAGACAGAGTTTCACCATGCTGGCCAGGCTGGTCTCGAACTCCTGACCTCAGGTAATACACCCACCTTGGCCTACCAAAGTGCTGGGATTACAGGCATGAGCCACAGTGCCCAGCCATATTTGCCTACAAGGTTTCATTCAGTATCTTCCAAATGCCTCACCTCTTCTCTTAGAGATGCTCCTGAAAAAAAACAAACTGATTTTGTAATTTCCTTCTTGTACAAGGTAACATTTTCGAGTTTTATTTTTGCGAAGGAATTTATAAAATCAAATTTATTTTATAGATAGACATCTCTGGCCTACTTCTACTGCACACAGCCACTCCCTCCTTAACAAAACAAAAAAACCTCAATGGCTTCGTTAATGCATATACAATTAAAGTTCTAATTTCTTGGATCTACATTTTTGGCCCTCCTTAACCTAGACCAGGGTTTCTCAACCTCAGCGCTATTGACGCTTTGGGCCAGATAATCCTTTGCTGTGCAGGGCTGACCTGTGTATCATACAACGTTTGTGAACATCGTGGCTTCTACCAATTAGATGCCAGCAGCACCACTTCACACCTTCCAGTTGTGACAACCAAAAATGTCTTCCAGACATTGCCAAATGTCACCTGAAGGGCAAAATCACCCCCAGGTGAAAAATCACTGATCTAGCGCCAAACAACCTTTCCAGGAATCTTCTATCAACACACCCCCACATAAAGCTTCTGATCCAGGGAAAATCAATTGCTCAGTTACAGTCTAGACTATTGCCTGATGGTTCTCATTTTCATACTTTTCCAGAGTATCCTACCCGTATCTTTCTTCTTCAGGATCCACCTTCTATTTCAAAACCTAAAATTTTCTTCTGGACAATGTCAGTTTTAATCCTAGGGTTTATTTTTTTCTAGAAATATCTTGATTTTGCCCCGGTACTACATTTAGTAATTATCACTTCACATGAGTCTCCTAATCTGTATTCTGTTTCTCATTGTTTAATTAGCATAATATCTAGTCCACGTACCTGGTTTTTCTGAAAGGCAAATAAGATGATGCACATGGACATGCTTTAACAATTGTAGAATACAAAACAAATATAGAAATTATCAATAAATCATGAAATGCCTTCTGATATTTCTGTTATAGTTATTGCTATTTATCTCTTGCACTGTGATTTACATGTTTGCATCTCCATCAGATCTTCAAGTTTATCATATGAAGACAGATTCCCAGATTGTGAGAGTTTTCAACAAGAACCAGAACAATTTGGCATTAATATTTGTTTAGTTATTTCATTTAACTGTTTAATCACACAGTCATCACAAGAAAAAATAACCTTATACTCCATCTCTTCCTACAGTCATCAATTCCTCACACCTAAGAGTTCCATATGATACAAAGGCTTACTTTGACTACCTCATTACCACCCCAAAGCTGGAATTTCATTAGGAAACCTGAAACCAATTCCGAGAATTTAGGAAATAGCATTAATACATATTTGAAAGAAGGAAAGTGAAAACAATCAGGACTGGGGTAAGAGAATAAGTACCAGTGCAATCTCTCCTTCTTCCACCCTATCTAGCAAACAGCAAACCTCTGCCTTTCTTTTTGATGTCTGCTCATCTGGCAGTGGCAAAGATGTTTATGCTTATAGAAGCCTCCAAAGTCAGCAATAAGTATGGCTCCAAAGCAGAACTACCTGTAGGCTCTGACTCACTGTTACATGAATTAGTTTCATTATTTAGAGATGGATTTAATTTGGGGATACAGGTAAATCATTCAGGTAGTTGGTGAATGTGGCTGGTAATCAATTTGGGGAATACTGCACTTAGTAAAAACTTAATTCTACAAAGCTAACTTATATGACTCAAAATCTGTATGCAATTGAAAAACAGTCAGGACAACAATGTCTGGAATAGTAGCAACATTTATTGAATAAGTTTGTAACCTCTAATGTAGTGATTATCTTAAAGCAACATTAACTTATATATTTTAGTTTTGACAGTTCATTATAAAAACAGTCATTACATAAAACCAGAGCTCACCTGGGAAAAAGCACCACTTTTGGAATGGAAATAGAACATATGGAATCAAGCCAATGGTGTTCTGCATTTTGTGTAGTTAGTTTGTTCCTGGACAAATTCTATTTTAAATACTTACAAATCTGATCAGATTGTTAATGCTTTTGAAGGAGTTTTTAAGCAAATACTATCACAGAGCATAGGAGCTTTTCTCTAATTTGGATTATATGTAACCTAAAATTCTCATTGAGGTGATTTACTCAAGATACACTATAACCAAATTAGCCAAGAGTGCTGGCACATGTCTGTGTTTCTAGCTACTCAGGAGACTGAGGTGGAAGGATTGCTTTGAGCCCAGGAGTTCAAAGCTACAATGAGCTGCGATGGAGCCACTGCAATCCTCCCGCCTATGTGACAGAGTGAGAGCCTATCTCAAAAATCAAAAACAAAAAAATTGACAATAATTAACAGCAGATTATTACAAGTAAGCAAAGCAGATTTATTTAAAACCCTTTGCAGTCTCTAATGTTGAAATGCATCTTTTAAAAAAATGCACACTCTAAATATGGTGTTTGTATTTTCTGCTTGCATTAAGCAATGAATACTCATGGAAGCCCATTTTTTAAAATAGACTACAGTTCCCTGCAAATTGTATTCCAACATCACACTGGCAAAAGTTGGGAGGGGGACCATCTGAGTTACAGATCAAGTCTGTATATAAATATACAGAGATACTCTTGTGGTTTAATAAGTTCTATCTAGAATAAAAGCCTTTTTTAAAAAAATCAATGTTCCCTAATTGATCCACTAGAAGTTTCATTTTGACAGTGAGGAGTAGAGTCAGAAATAGTATCTGGTTGATTTAATTCAGCACTTTACAACAGTGGACCATGATTCAGATGTGGTTAGAAGGAAATCTACTGAGATTTAGAGTTGGATTTTAGAGGCTATTTGATGTCTAAAGCAGCAAACTTGGCAGCTAACTGATAACTTGGAATTGTTGATGAGTTGTAAAGTTAGGCCAATCTCCCTGGAATTAAAGAGAAAGACCTTACAAACCCTTATCCCCATAACGGATTTGAATAAATACATTTCAAAAAACATCAGGGTATGAGAACCAAGTTATTTAAATCTGTGTAGACCCAATGGGGAAAAAAGTTACTTTTTTTAACCTATGAGATCAAATTTTTAATATTTAGCTAGTGGTTTGTAGACTCTTAAAGTGTAATGTTTAATATCTTTCCACAGTGCTTGCTTGAATGTTATCATATTTGCTAAAGTCTCAAGAATTCTTTTATAATACCTTAGTATCAAAAATTAAGAAAGATATATAATAGTCTAAAAGTACTTAAGAAAGTCAAATACTGCCCATTCTCACTTGTCATTGGGAACTAAATAATGTGTATACATGTGAATCGAGAGTGAAATAACAGACACTGGAGACTTGGAAAGGTGGGAGGGGGTGAGTGATGAGAAATTACCTAACGGGTACGATGTTCCCTATTCAGGTGATAGCTACACTGAAAGCCCAGACTTTACCATTACACAATATATCCACGTAATAGACTGCTTTTCCCCCTAAATCTACAAAAACAAGACATAGGAAAATAAAAAAGGACTTAAAGAGCAAGTTACTGTTCTTCATATGTAAACCAGTTTTAGCTAAAAAGAAATACCCCAAACTCCCTTTTCATTAAAAAACATCATCTTAAAGTCTAATTGGTTACATACTAGTATTATCAAAGGTCATATCAACCCATTAGACACTGATTAGACCCATTAATACACCCATTACATATATTCAATATAGTGGTGACAAAACCTGATGAAAATAAGCAGTATTTGTCTGTAATTTTGCCTGTCTCCTCTAGACATAAAGATTGTCTTTTTTGAGTAAAATCTCTAAGGAAAAAGGCTTATGATGAAGAAAGGAGTCCAAGGTCAGAAAATAAACCCAGTGCAAACAGCTACAAACTTCTCCAAATAAAATAAGCAGTTCCATCTCCAGATAGCTTGTCAAATTCCACATATTTCGATAGTTCTGAAATTACTGTCAGAAACTCACATTTTTAAAGCTATTAATAAAAGTTATCACTAACAGGGCCCTTATACTATGTTAGGCTCTTTTCTAAGTTATTTACATCTTTCTAACTCTCCCAGTAACAGGTAGGTAATATTACAACCTCCAAGGTTACATAGCTACTAAGTGGCAGAAACAGAATTAGCCTATGCTCTTAGCCACTACTGAATACTGCCTCTGCTGAGACAAGCAACTACATAACTGTAATGAAAGAACATGGTCCAAGTCTTTGTAATTTATTAATAGGAAAGACTATAACCACAAGCAAAGGTTTACACCCAACAACAGATGCCGAAGTGAAATCCATTTGTCATGAGAACCTTAGGAAACAATCAGTTCAAAAGCAGGGATTGCAATTCTAGTTTCTGATAAAACAGACTTTAAACCAACAAAGATCAGAAAAGATAAAGAAGGGCACTATATAATGGTAAAGGGATCAATGCAACAAGAAGAGCTAACTATACTAAATATATATGCACCCAATACAGGAACACCCAGATTCATAAAACAAATTCTTAGAGACCTACAAAGAGACTTAGACTCCCACACAATAATAGTGGGAGACTGTAATACCCCACTGTCAATATTAGATCAATGAGACAGAAAATTAACAAATATATTCAGGACTTGAACTCAGCTCTGGACCAAGCGGATCTAACAGACATCTACAGAACTCTCCATCCCAAATCAACAGAATATACATTCTTCTCAGCAACACGTAGCACTTCTTCTAAAATCGACCACATAATTGGAAGTAAAACACTCCTCAGCAAATGGAAAAGAACATAAATCGTAACAAACATTTTCTCAGACCACAGTGCAATCAAATTAGAACTCAGGATTAAGAAACTCACTCAAAACCGCACAACTACATGGAAACTGAACAACCTGCTTCTGAATAGCTACTGGGTAAATAATGAAATTAAGGCAGAAATAACAAAGTTCTTTGAAACCAATGAGAACAAAGACACAATGTACCAGAATCTCTGGGATACAACTAAAGCAGTGTTTAAAGGGAAATTTATAGCACTAAATGCCCACAAGAGAAAGTGAGAAAGATCTAAAATCGACACCCTAACATCACAATTAAAAGAACTAGAGAAGAAGAGCAAACAAATTCAAAAGCTAGCAGAAAACAAGAAATAACCAAGATCAAAGCAGAACTAAAGGAGATAGAGACCCAAAAAACCCTACAAAAAAATCAATGAATCCAGGAGCTGTTTTTTTGAAAAGATTAACAAAATTGATAGATTGCTTGCCAGACTAATAAAGAGAGAAGAATCAAATAGACGCAATAAAAAATGATAAAGGGGATATCATCACTGATCCCACAGAAATACAAACTACCATCAGAGAATACTGTAAACACCTCTATGCAAATAAACTAGAAAACCTAGAAGAAATGGATAAATTTCTGGACACATACACCCTCCCAAGACTAAACAAGAAAGAAGTTGAGTCTCTGAATAGACCAGTAACAAGTTCTGAAATTGAGGCAGTAATTAATAGCCTACTAAGAAAAAAAGCCCAGGACCAGATGGATTCACAGCCAAATTCAACCAGAGGTACAAAGAGGAGCTGGTACCATTCCTTCTGGAGCTGTTCCAAACAATAGAAAAAGAGGGGCTACTCCCTAACTGATTTTATGAGGCCAGCCTTATCCTGTTTCCAAAACCTGGCAGAGACACAAAACAAACACACACAAAAAAAATTCAGGCAAATACCCTGATGAACATTAATGCAAAAATCCTCAATAAAATACTGGCAAACCGAATCCAGCAGCACATCAAAAAGCTTATCCACCATGATCAATTCAGCTTCATCCCTGGGATGCAAGGCTGGTCCAACAATATGCAAATCAATAAATGTAATCCATCATATAAACAGAACCAATGACAAAAACCACATGATTATCTCAATAGATGCAGAAAAGGCCTTCGATGAAATTTAACACTGCTTCATGCTAAAAACACTCAGTAAACTAGGTGTTGATGGAACATATCTCAAACTAATAAGAGCTATCTATGACAAACCCATAGCCAGTATCATACCAAATGGGCAAAAGCTGGAACCATTCCTTCTGAAAACCAGCACAAGACAAGGATGCCCTCTCTCACCACTCCTATTCAATATAGTATTGGAAGTTCTTGCCAGGGCAATCAGGGAAGAGAAAGAAATAAAGAGTATTCAAACAGGAAGAGAGGAAGTCAAAATGTCTCTCTTTGCAGAGGATATGATTGTATATTTAGAAAACCCCATCGTCTCAGTGCAAAATCTCCTTAAGCTGATAAGCAACTTCAGTAAAGTCTCAGGATACAAAATCAATGTGAAAAAATCACAAGCATTCCTGTACACCAACAATAGACAAACAAAGAGCCAAATCATGAGTGAACTCCCATTCACAATTGCTACAAAGAGATTACAATACCTAGGAACACAACTTACAAGGAATGTGAAGGACCTCTTCAAGGAGAACTACAAATCACTGCTCTGCTCAGGGAAATAAGAGAGAACACAAATGGAAAATCATTCCTTGCTCATGGATAGGAAGAATCAATATCGTGAAAGTGGTCATACTGCCTAAAGTAATTTATAGATTTAATGCTATTCCTATCAAGCTACCACTGAGTTTCTTCACAGAACTAGAAAAAACTACTTTAAATTCCACATGGAACCAAGAAAAAGCCCGTATAGCCAAGACAATCCTAAGCAAAAAGAACAAAGCTGGAGGCATCACGCTACCTGACTTCAAACTATACTACAAGGCTGCAGTAACCAAAACAGCATGGTACTGGTACCAAAACAGATATATAGACCAATGGAACAGAACAAAGGCCTCAGAAATAACGCCACATATCTACAACCATCTGATCTTCGACAAACGTGACAAAAAAAAAGTCCATGGGATAGGATTCCCTATTTGATAAATGGTGCTGGGAAAACTGGCTAGCCATATGCAGAAATGAGAAACTGGACCCCCTTCCTTACACCTTAAAGAAAAATGAACTCAAGATGGATTAAAGACTTGAAACCTAAACCCATAAAAACCCTAGAAGAAAACCCAGGCAATACCATTCAGGACATAGGTATGGACAAAGACTTCATGACTAAAACATGAAAAGCAATGGCAACAAAAGCCAAAACTGACAAATGGTACCTAATTAAACTGAAGAGCTTCTGCACAGCAAAAGAAACTATCATCAGAGTGAACAGGCAACCTACAGAATGGGAGAAAATTTTTGCAGTCCTTTCATCTGACAAAGGTCTAATATCCAGAATTGACAAGAACTTAAATTTACAAGAAAAAAAAACCATCAAAAAGTGGGCAAAGGATATGAACAGACACTTTTCAAAAGAAGACATTTTTGCAGCCAATAGACATATTGAAAAAAGCTCATCGTCACTGGTCATTAGAGAAATGCAAATCAAAACCACAATGAGATATCATCTCAAGCCAGTTAGGATGGTGATCATGAAAAAGTCAGGAAGGATTGCTGGCAAGATGGTCAAATAGGAACAGCTCCCGTCTGCAGCTCCCAGCGAAATCAAAGCAGCAGGAGAGTGATTTATATATTTCCAACTGAGGTACCCAGCTCATCTCATTGGCACTGGTTGAACAGTGGGTGCAGCCCACGGAGGATGAGCCGAAGCAGGGTGGGGCATCGCCTCACCTGGGAAGCACAAGGGGTAAGGGAATTCTCTCCCCTACCCAAGGGAAGGCGTGAGGGACTGACCCTGAGGAACCATGCACTCTGGCTCAGATACTTCACATTTCCCACTGTCTTTGCAACCCACAGATCAGGAGATTCCCTCCTGTGCATACGCCACGAGGGCCCTGGGTTTCAAGCACAAAACTGGGTGGCCATTTGGGCAGACACCGAGCTAGCTGCAGGAGTTTGCTTTTTTTGTTGTTTTTTGTTTTGTTTTGTTTTTCCATACCCCAATGATGCCTGGAACACCAGCAAAACAGAACGGTTCACTCCCCTAGAAATGGGCTGAAGCCAGGGAGCCAAAACAGACAAATGGAACCTAATTAAACTAAAGAGCTTCTGCAGAGCAAAAGAACTATCATCAAAGTGAACAGGCAACCTACAGAATGGGAGAAAATTTTTGCAATCTACCCATCTGACAAGGGACTAATATCCAGAATCTACAAAGAACTTAAACAAATTTACAAGATAAAAAGAAACAACCCCATCAAAAAGTGGGCAAAGGATATGAACAGACACTTCTCAAAAGAAGACATGTATGCAGCCAACAAACATGAAAAAAAGCTCATCATCACTGGTCATTAGAGAAATGCAAATCAAAACCACAATGAGACACCATCTCACGCCAGTTAGAATGGCAATCACTAAAAAGTCAGGAAACAACAGATACTGGAGAGGATGTGGAGAAATAGGAATGCTTTTACACTGTTGGTGGGAGTGTAAATTAGTTCAACCACTGTGGAAGACAGTGTGGCAATTCCTCAAGGATCTAGAACTAGAAATACCATTTGACCCAGCAATCCCATTACTGGGTATATACCCAGAGGATTATAAATCATTCAACTCTAAAGACACATGCACACGTATGTTTATTGCAGTACTATTCACAATAGCAAAGATTTGGAACCAAGCCAAATGTCCATCAATGATAGACTGGATAAAGAAAATGTGGCACATAAACACCATGGAATACTATGCAGCCATAAAAATGGATGAGTTCATGTCCTTTGTAGGGACATGGATGGAGCTGGAAACCATCATTCTCAGCAAACTAACACAAGAACAGAAAACCAAACACCACATGTTCTCACTTATAAGTGGGAGTTGAACAATGAGAACACATGGACACAGGGAGGGGAACATCACACACTGGGGCCTGTCGGGAGATCGGGGGAGCTAGAGGAGGGATAGTGTTAGGAGAAATACCTAATGTAGGTGAAGGGCTGATGGGTGCTGCAAACCAGCATAGCACGTGTATACCTATGTAACAAACCTGGCTGTTCTGCACATGTGTCCCAGAACTTAAAGTATAATAATTTTTTTAAAAAGTCAGCAATCAACAGATGCTGGAGAGGATGTGAAGAAATAGGAACACTTTTACACTGTTGATGGGAGTGCAAATTAGTTCAACCATTGTGCAAGACAGTGTGGCGATTCCTCAGGGATCTAGAACCAGAAATACCATTTGACCCAGCAATCCCATTACTAAGTATATACCCAAAGGATTATAAATCATTCTACTATAAAGAAACATGCACATGTATGTTTATTGCAGCAGTGTTCACAATAGCAAAGACTTGGAACCAACCCAAATGCTTATTAATGACAGACTGGATAAAGAAAATGTGGCACATATACACCATGGAATACTATGCAGCCATAAAAAGAATGAGTTCATGTTCTTTGCAGGGACATGGATGAAGCTGGAAACTATCATTCTCAGTAAGCTAAGACAGGAACAGAAAACCAAACACCACATGTTCTCAGTCATAAGTGGGAGTTGAACAATGAGAACACATGGACACAAGGATGGGAACACCACACACCAGAGCCTGTCAGGGGGTGGGGAAAAGGGGCAGGGAGAGCATTAGGACAAATACCTAATGCATGCAGGGCTTAAAAACTAGATGACAGGTTGATTGGTACAGCAAACCACCATGGCACTTGTATACCTATGTAACAAACCTGCACTTTCAGTATATGTATCCCAGAACTTAAAGTAAAATTAAAAAAAAAAAGGAAATAATCAGTTCTTTGGGATACAATTTTAGGCAACAGTTATCCCTATTCCCTTATTTTAAAAAACTAGGAAAGTATAATTGACTAATCAGCAAGTATTTACTGAATACCCACTAAATTCCCAGTACTGCTATGTGTTTTAAGGAATGAAATCGTAGTCAAAGGTTATTTGTTATTAGTCCTACAGGACATTAACAAGTTTCTTCCAAATATCTAGCTGAATGCAAGAAAAAACAAGACCAGAAACAAGTTACTAAGGAATAACTTTATAAGTAATGATGTGCAAATAAATGCAGCACAAACAGTAACTATTCTAAAAATTCTAACTTCTATTTTGGGCAGGCGTTGCAAAGTTGTCATAGTTTACACTGACCTACCCACAATTAACAAGGTTTCACACAAACTCAATTAAGAGAATTTTTGAAAAATTTACTTGAAAAGAATATCCATAGCCTGTCATCAATCCAACTGTAGGAATGAATAGATGAACATTCTAAGTTTATTATAAATATGTATGAATGCAAGATTTGAACTAATAGTGGTTGTTTTTGTGGCATTGCTGGGTTCCCTCAACTCCTCTACCAAAGGGTGCAGATGGAGAGTGAAAAGCATAATACATATAATTTTAATGAGCTCCTTTTCCATGTATCCTTGTTTCTATAAGGAGCCTACAAGGAGCTGGAGGTAAAAATAGAGCTCCTATTTTTTTCTACCATGCAGGCCTCTTAGATTTTTGCTACAAAGAGAGAGAGCGAGAGAGAAAGAAAGCCGACTTTTGTCCTGAAATGTTTACTTCTCCCATTTAATACACAAGCCAGGGCCCAAGGGAAAACAGACTTACAGATCCCTCTCATAGTGAGCTTTAATGCATTCCTGTGACCAAGATCAATTATAGTGACACAGGAAGTTGGGGAGTTTGCAGAAACGTGTAATGACAATTGTCAGTCTTCAGGAGGTAGAGTGTTCTTGTCTTGCCATTTATCTAAAATCTAAAGTTTAATAAGAAAATGCAATCACCAATTCCAGCTGTATTGATTGTATCACAGGCCTGTTATAAACTTGAGGTAATGCTTACCAATTACAAAGGGAGCACCTGCAAAATTATATAATGGTTAACTTTTCAGATCTACCCTCAGCTCTTAGTAATGACACCAACTCTGTGTCAGTGTGGAACAATTAATGTACCAATGTCCAGGATGTGCCTGGAGTGAAAGTCTTTCCCTTCATACTTCATTCATTTAACAAATAGAGAGTATTTTGCCATCAAATGTTGCTTCTGAAAAAGCTAATGATGATAGGAAAAAAATAAAAAGACTCAATTCATTTCTACAGCATACAGAGTACTTCAAGAGTTGAACATTGTGTGAATGTGATGAATGGGAACACTCCAGCAGTCAAAAACCTTGACCTCAAACTTCATCAATAACTGGGACTGGCTAAATGCAAGCTCCTTCTCAAGCACTGTGCAGAGGTTGTTTCCCTAGAGACTCTTCAATATGAAAAGTTTGAAAAGAAAGTATTGGCCGGCATGGTGGCTCAAGCCTGTAGCCAATACTTTCTTTGTATTTTTGGAGTCTGAGGCAGGCTGATTGCATGGGCTCAGGAGTTTGAGACTATCCTGCGCAACCTGGCGAAATCCCATCTCTACTAAAAATACAAAAACTTAGCCGGGCCTGGTGGCATGCTCCTGTAGTCTCAGCTACTTGGGAGGCTGAAGCATGAGAATTGCTTGAACCCGGGAGGCAGAGGTTGCAGCGAACGTGATCGCACCACTTTACTCCAACCTGGGCGACAGAGTGAGACTGTCTCCAAAAAAAATAAATAAATAAAGTATTTTCAGTTGCATGTCTACTTGCTTGGTTTAAATTTTTTTTCTGGTATTGAAGAATCAAGGATGTTCTCAATGAGAATCATGTTAGTGATAAAGACCCACACTCAGATCTGCTTAATACGTTAGATCCTGGCATTGTTCTAAGCATGTTCCACAGATTAAGTCATTTTAATTCACCACAACTACATGTGGAGAGATGCTGTTATTATCCCCATTTTGCAGTTGAAGAAACCGAGGTACAGAGATTAACATCAAGGCAGTGGCCAAGCCAGGATTCAATCTCAGACAACATAAGTCCAGAGTCTATGCCCTTAATTCCACACCTATGCCTCTCAACAGCACCCTAAATGTCACCCCTATGCCACCAAATGTACTAAATTGAAGAATCACATGAGAACATTTTATAGGTCAAAGTTTCTTTATAACTACAATCATTAAGTATTTACCCCAACACCTTTCCTGAACACACACCTTCTATAAAACTATTTAGTAACATTTCTATAATAAAGTCAAAGCTTAAACATGGTGCCACAAGAAACTATCATCTTATAGCATGACCAAATAATTTTTCAACAACTGCTTTATATATCAGACTTATGGCAGTGAAACATACATTTCATGTTAACATCTATAGTTTTACCTACTCATTGTATTAATATGTTTAATGGGCACTGATATTCAAAATGCTTGGTAATAAAAAATATTTCCTGACTTTTACATAAAAATTTTGTTTTAATGAATTTTAAGACTGTATTTACATTCTACTAAACTAGTTTAGTGATGAACAAGGCACAGTAGGAGCATTTCCTTGCAAGAATGTAAGAATTCATTATCCAGCTTCAACTGTTAGAATCATAACACCCTTTTATAGGCTAAATTTTTACAGAACCCGAGATCAACTACTATTGAATGGATTAGCTGGTCATGATAATAATTGGTTCATCACATTGAATGCAGAAGAGATGGTGAATACAACTTCCTAACCTCAAGAACTAGATACCATACACAGTATTTAAAGCTATATTGTTGGAAGAAAGTGCAGTAAACAGAAAATAGGACAAAAGAAATCCTGGATTTTGAATGAAATACTAACAGCAACAAAGACTTCAGGAAACTAATTTGGAGCTTCTCTTTAAGCCAGGGGCGACACACTCAATGAGGAGGAAGTAAGGTAGATGGAAAGTGAAATGAGCTAGCAACTGCACATCTTGACCAAAGATAGCCAACTTTTAAGTTTTTTTTGTTGTTTTCATTTTGTTTAACCATGTTAGGTGTAAACTAACACTTTAATAAACTGGATTCAGCCTATATGGGTTTCAATTCCTAGGTTCTGCTTTAAATATTAGTTTTATCTCAGTTCCCCACCAAAGATCTCAAATTTGTTATTTCCCTCTCAGACCTTTATTTTAAAAAAAATTTGTTGTCCTTTCAGTCCAAAGAAAAGGACATTTTAAACAGTTTATGCAGCGATGATAATGATGAATATGTTACTTCAATAAGGGTTTTTGAAAGATTAAAAATAATGTATGTACTCAAAGAATGGTTAAACATGGACTCTGAAGTCTGAACAATCTTGGTATTAATCTATTTCAGCCACAATCACATATCAGATATATGATCATGGACAATATGATCATGTATCTCAGTTTCCTTATATGTAAAATGAGAGTATTAGTAGCACCTACCTTGTAGGACTGCTGGGAAGATGAAATGAGTAAACAAACACTTGATCAACCCGGCAGCTATGAAGTCCTCCATAAAGGTGAGCTACTACAACTACTATTTTGAACAGACAGTACTCAAGGTTCTCTAGGCTGACCACAGGTAAAACCACTATGTTTATGTCTTATTTCAAAAAGAGTCCCCAAACAAAAGATTAGATTAAGATACGCTTTGTCAGTTTATTATGAAACAAAGCGCTTTGGTGGAATAGCACACTAACAATCAGTAATTGCTTGCAAATGAGGGTTCTCTTATGATAAATGGGCTAATCAGAGTTGTACTACAATCTGGACAGATGTGTCTTATGTTGACATGAGTTTTAATCCTCCATTTGCAGTTTTCACTGTTCCTTCTTCATTATTTCACTGTGGCAACATATGTTTTCAAAGTGTTATACTATATCATATACCACTTTTATTACTTTACGCCTCCATTTGGAGGAGAGTGAGTATCATGTCCTGTGACATGACATGGGCAGATTTTCCTCTCAACTTTCACAGCTCCACCTATACAACTAAGGCCTAAGTCACTGCTATTTCACTTCTCAAGACCAGTATGATCTACCAGATGGAAAGAATTGACATGTTTGTGTTTGAGTGATATTTAACATCTTGTATATTCAGCGATTAATATGCACCAGGCCCAGTGATAAACACTTCATATGCATTAAGTCTACACAACCCCTATAAAATAGGCATGATTATTACCTACATTATACCAAGAGGAAAACTAAGAGCTACATAACCAAGGCCACATAGCTAGAAAGTGGCAAGGCTTGGATTCAAACACAGGCTGCTTATTCTAGAGCCTGGACTCTTCCCTAGTAGATATAGAACCTCCTGCTGGTACCATGTAACTTTGGTTGGAAGTCATGCTTAAGCTCTCGATCTTAAATCTCTCATCTTGTACAAGTTTACTAATACTTAACTCTGTCTGTTACAAGGCCTAATATATATGAACTATCTAACATAATGACTAATATAGAGTTGCCATTCAATTAAAGACAGCTGTTAAATGTGTATCTGTGTGTGTATATATGTACATATGATATATATACATATACATGCATATGTATATACATACACACAGATGTCCCTTGGTATCCACGGGGGATTTGTTCCAGGGCTCTTCACAGGTATCAAAGTCTGAGGATGCTCAAATCCTTTATAATAGCATGGTATTTGCATACAACCTATGCACGTCCTCCTCTCGTACACTTTAAGTCATCTCTAGGTCACTTGTAATACTTAAAACAATGTAAATGCTATATAAATAGTTATTACTATTTAGGGAATGACAAGAACAAGTTTGTACATGTTCAATATGGATTTTTCTTAAAATCTTGATCCTTTATTAGTTGAATCAATGGATGCAAAACCCACAGTTACAGAGGGCTGACTCTGTGTGTGTGTCTGTGACAGACACATTTTGACTAATTAATGTAACAGAAAAATACAATCACCTTCCCTCTGGTGATTCCAGGAAACAAGTGAAGAGGTTAGAAGGAGGTTGTGATGGGTTAGATTTCTGTTCACTCATATTCTATGGCACCCTCTATGGTGCCCCTTTTCTGCAGGAATATTTTACATCTCACCTAGTTTAATTGAGCTATAGCTATGTGATTTGATTTGGCCAATGAAATGTAGGCAGAAGTGACGTATGCTATTTCTGGTCTTAAGAACCAATGCATTGCACATCGTCTCTTTTCTTTCTGACACAACAATATACTACTACCTATCAGCCTGAGAATCAATTGAAGAAAATGTGGTTCTAGAGCCAGATTTAGAAAATGTGGATTTTGGGGTGGCTATTGCAGCATACTTTAGCCTATGCTAACTGATATAGCAGTACTTCCATCAAAGCAGGTTAATAAGTATATATTCATTGCATAACCCTGCCATTGTCTTTAACTTACACACATGCTCCGTAACCACAGCCACAATCACTGTGACAAAGAAATATGACTCCTTGACTCTTTTCTCTGCCCTTTTAATTTCACTTTCTTAAGTTGTATTAATGTCATTTATGGGAAAAGAATAAAGTCAAAGAAAAAATAAACTACTTTTAAACTTTCACACTTAAAATCTTGAAAGTCGGCGGGGCACGGTGGCTCACGCCTGTAATCCTAGCCCTTTAGGAGGCCAAGGCGGGTGGATCACAAGGTCAGGAGATCAAGACCATCCTGGCTAACACAGTGAAACCCCATCTCTACTAAAAAATATAAAAAATTAGCCGGGCGTGGTGGCAGGCACCTGTAGTCCCAGCTGCTCGGGAGGCTGAGGCAGGAGAATGGTGTCAACCCAGGAGGTGGAGCTTTCAGTAAGCCAAGATCGCTCCACTGCACCCCAGCCTGGGTGACAAACGGAGACTCCATCTTTAAAAAAAAAAAAAAAAAAAAATCTTGAAAGGCTTCAAATGTTGAGGTCCTATATTTGCTTTAAAAGGATGATCAAAACTTAAAATTATAGGATGAACTCATTCCAACTATCTAAAATTATTAAGTAATCACTTAAATGTTACCATACATATAGCGAAAAGAGGCCTTGGCTTGGAATCAAAAGACCTGCATATGCATTTGGGTCCTGCTCTCTAGCAGCTACATTTTGAGATGCCAGTACCATCCAGTTATTTGTTTGTAAGTGACTCCATCTTACCTTCCCTGCTCAAGCGCTGCCATGTATGTACAAGTGAATGGTCAATCTTTATACCAAATATTGTCAGACCACCAGCTCCCAGTCTGTAAGGCCTGGCACCACACAGCACAAACAGACTCCATTTCCAAGCCTTCAATGTCTATGAGGTTGCATTATAATGAGTATCTCTTTACTTATGCTAGATTGAAAGGTCTTTTTTTAAAAAATTGCAATAAAAATATATTAAAACATGTGAATCTTAAGTGAATTTCTCTCTGACCCTGAGTCAAAACTGCAGAATGGATTAAACCATCTTTACTTGGTTGTGAGATTCCAATAGTGTGAATATGTGCAAGTACATGAGAATAATCAATTTTGAAAGAAATTTCAGAGGAGCAATTCAAATCATTCCTAAAGAAAACATTCTTCTAAATTATCTGGCATGGAAAGTATTAATAATCAAATGTTTATCATAACAACCATACTCGCCATATTTATTTTAAGCATGTCAAATTTTAAGAGCGGAATATTTAAGTTCTAATGTATTAAACCTCTCTATATAACTAAGAGATACAATATTTTTATTCAGTATACAGGCTTAGAAGAATATTATTTTAGAGGATGACAGTGAATTTTAGCTGAACCTCAATGTTATTTATACCTTTCTGCTTGTTACAATTGTCTACTCTTGTTTAGAAATGCAATGCATTTCAAAAGCATTGTTTCTTTGGAAAAGTATAATGTGTTTTAAGACATGGTTTCTTGAAAGTGCTTATAGCAAAACTCTAGAACTAACAGGAGACCCACATCTGGGGAAAGAAAAAGCAGATAAATTGGGTTTAAGCATGCCTTTTAGGTGCTTAAGGGACTTTTGTTTACATTCTTTCTGTACATAGCCCAGAGAACAAAGTTTACTGGAGGAAACTTCTTTCTGGTTATCTACTTAATCTTGTGAACATGATTTTAATAAGCACCATCCCTATGCAGGTGGTTATTTTCTTTGCAGGAAAACATTGACATTTTCCTCCAAAATGACAAAGAAATTTAGGCAATATTGCTGGAGAATATATTTTAAACCACTGGATAAATTCTAAGCTATTTATGGCTCTGCTTCCAAAGCAAGACAGGAGTATTAACTGCTCAATAAACCACAAACCTCATTTTTATGCAATTCTGTTAATTCTATAATACTCATTTTCAGGACAAAAGTTATACTCATCTGTCTAAAACATTGACTCGCTTTGCCAGAAATAATTTAACATAGGAAATTATTTTAACTCTTCTATACTATCTTTTTTAGATCCAAATTTATAGAATTACGGTATGCTCCATAATGGCCTTTTTAATAAAATACCTTACTCTTACAAATATTATCAAGTTATCTCTTTCTACCATGTGCCTGCAAATTGCTTGATAGTGTAAAACTTGCTAAAATGTCTCCTCTTGAAAGGATGCTTCATATAGTGGCATCACATATTAAAGCTTAACGGTTAAAGTAACAGTGATTCTAGACTGAGTTTGATCTAGCTCAATCTCAACTACACAGCAACAAATAGAAAACATAGCCATTCCTGGTGCCATTTTATGTCTTCCATGTTATTTATTGCATGGTGTCCTCAGTTTCATTTTCACGTTACAATGTTTAGCTCATCGGTGTTTTCTCAGGAGTCAACTTAAGAAAGCTTACCAATACAGTACTGACCAAATGGAGTAAATTAAATATATAGGATTGTTCAGAAGAAACTAGAAAGTTGTTTAGCTCAGATCAAAAAAAATAAATATATCAGAGTGGCAAAATTTAACATTAAACATGCAATATGAATGGCTTCATAATTCTTGTGAGCAGTCCAGTAATCAACTCAACTTGCAAATATGGCAGGCAGTTATATAACCAATTAGAATATGAATAGATAGATAGATGGATAGATTTTTTTTTTAAGACAAGGTCTGGCTGTACCTCCCAGGCTGGTGTGCAGTGGTGCAATCTCAGCTGACTGCAACTTCTGCCTCCCGGGCTAAAGCCATCCTCCCGCCTTAGCCTTCTGAGTAGCTGAGGCCACAAGTGCATACCACCATATCTGGCTAACTTTTAAATTTTTTGTAGAGACAGTGTCTCTACAAAATGAGACATGTTTCCCAGGCTGGTCTTGAACTCCTGAGCTCAAGCGATCCGCCCACCTCAGCCTCCCAAAGTGCTGGGATTACAGGCAAGAGCCACTGCGCCTGGCCTTGTTAGAATATTTTTAAACCTAAATAAAATTGGGCTATTTCTGAGGTATTTGATGTTCTGAAGCAGCGATTATCAAAATATGTTCAATGGACATTGGTGATCTGTTGACATCCACCAGGTGGTGTTGAAACAGACATGTTATACAATTCATGTTTTGTGTATATTAATTATAATTGTTGCTAAGGCATTTTTAAAAATTGTCCATCATCCACTTACAATAGCAAATTTCATTTCTCCCATCTTTGTCTGTCTCAATTACAAGCAAAAATATATAATATGACACCTAGGTCTTTTTTCTGAAGTGCTACACATTAAGAATATTATTTTTAAAAATCAAAGATCAGAAGTATTCTTCAATGAAAAGATATCTTTTTTGGGGATACAGGGAATAAACAAAGATTAGATTCTTCTGGCCAGTGGGGGAGACTTGGCCAGGCTATATGGCACATCAGGCTATATGGCAGCAATCACATTGCATAGAGAAGAATGAAGAACCTTAATTTCCACCATTCCACAGAGCAGTGCAGTAAATACATAGAGCAGCAGGTAAGACAATAAAACAGCAGTTAATGAGGACCAGTGTCTAAAAGGTGATTGATTTCGGAAAGTAAAAATCTAAAAATATTCTGCAGTTAGTGTCTTAGCTCTAACATACAGACACAATTGGCCTAGAGAAGCACTGCCCAGTAGAAATTCTTATAATGATGAAAAGGCTCTATTTTGCCCTGTCTGATATGGTAGACACTAACTCCACATGGCTATTGAGAAATTTAAATGTGGCTAGTGCAACTGAGGATTTAAATTTTTAATTTTATTTAATTTTAACCTAATTCTAGTAGCCACACAGGGCCAGTGGCTGCCATATCAGAGAGTGAAAATCTAGGAAACCTCATCCTGGAACAAAACATCATATGGTACAGAGAAGAGAGCCAGGGAGAAACAGAAGGCAGGTGAATAAGGAAAGAAAAGCAACAAGACTAGATGAACCCAAGTGAGGCTGAGGCTCACCCATTTCTTAGACAGGGGATCTGAATATAAATCAAAATCACATTATATTTTCATTTTAATTTTCTAAGTATGTTTTTACATTTAAGCTATCTAGCATACTTCTTTACCATTCCATACCAAATGTAGGCTTAATAATTTTAGTCATTTTTGTCAATAAAATACCGCAATTCTCCCATCCATTGTATATTGTGCCTAGTCAATATATGTTGGCCCCATTCTTTTCAATATTAAGGTAACTCTTTTAGGTATCCTTAAGGAAAGCCACCTGAGCCAAGTGGAGATGCAGCCAAGTGGAAATCACTATTCAGATTCTGTGCCTCAAGTGTGCAGACCAGGTAAGCAACACCTGCAACCCTTCTGTAGAGTGGCACCTGTACAAGGCCTGCTCCTGCTTGGGTGAAACACGTGTTACATTAACTAATTTTAAGACTGCCTACGCATTAAATTCATACAAATTGGGAATTTTTAACCACATAAAGTGGCTTAGTTGTCAAGATATCTTTGCAGTATTTTTAATGGTAGACATAAGAACTAATGAAATGCCTTATAATATTTAATACGAGGCAGTAGTTCAGCTACAGGGGAGATTCCTATTTCTGTTAGTGTGGATGAATCTGTACTTGAGCTCAGAAATTTAGATGTGTAATTATAAGGCGAAAATAGATGTTGGAGAGAAATTAAGAATTTTAAGCATGAGAACACACAGAACAGAGTCATTTTATCTTACAGTTTTCTATATTTTCAGTAAAATTAATCTGAAAGACACAGAAAAACCAATCCTTTAAGCAGCTGTTATTAAATTACTGACTTTAATAATGAATGATACATAGATATCAAGAGAAATTTTTCACTTCATGTCTAGGATACCTAATGATGTTTGAACCTTGACTATTACAATATGATTTTAACTAGATTTTATGTTAAAGCTACAAGATCTTAGCACCGTTTGATAATAAATAGAGATAAAATTTCATGTTTAGGCTTTAAAATGCTACATATTCAATGTCAGAAATGAAGTGATATTTCAAAAAAAGCAAACATCTGAGTCTTAGCTCTTCTGACTGTGGAATTTTTCAGAGTCCTTCAGTAGAGAAAAAAAATATGGGAATTCTGCAGACCTCAGAACACCTTACAGCTTTTACAGAAGACTCAAATTGCTCAATTTATAGGCCACATTCATACTAGGGTCTTTTTGTCTCCAACTAAACTTTTTCGTTTCTATTCTGATGATATAAGAAAAATATATATTACAAGAAAGGGCATGAATTAGTTGGTCATTAGGGAAAAATAAACCTTTTTGCAAATTAAAGTTTCATTGTCATGCTTAGCCTGTTTGTTCCAGCTACAATGTGATTATTCTTCCTCTTATTTCTATATGTAAGAGTTCTATGGATCATAAAGAATCTAGAAAATAACATTAACAATAATAGTAACAGCAGAAATCCCCTATAAAGCACCTACCATATGCTAAGCACAATGTTAGGCAATTTATGAATATTTTCCCTCCTTCCTGAAACAACCCAGTACTGATAAGTATCAGTATCACATTTCACCGACAATAAAATTACAGGCTTAAGAAGACTGAATAGCCTGTCCAAAGTTATTCAGCTAGTAACTAGAAGAGCTAGAAATCAAATCAAAGTTAGCTCAAAGCCCTCACCCAAAGACCAAGGAGTCAGACCAGTTGTGACATGGGCATAGGAAGGATAAGGGAGAAGATGCAATGAGAGGATATATTTTTTCTTCTCTGTAGCAGCTTCCTTCCTGACCTCTCTAGCATGGCATAAGTCAATGCTGGGATTAATACCAGGGTGCTTTTTAACAGAAAAAAAAAAATCTACAGTCTTGTGTAAGACATGCAGGAGGTGAAGTTAAATCAAATCATAGAATACCTTACTTTAGAAAAGAAAGCTTCGAATATCTTTAATATGTTTCTTTCTTCTTTAATATCTATGCAAACAATACAAAGCTTGATGATTTTTAAAACACAGACTTCTTGCCAATACATTCTAATCAAATGACCTATGCAAGGTGTTAAGCTCAGTATTTTGCTCTGTATAAAAGTAACCTCACATGTATTAGACCTAGATAGAACATAAGAGTGTTAATGAGTTAATTCGAGTGACTTCATGTGGTGGATTTTTTTTCCCACAAAAGTTTTATCATTTTTCTCAGGTAAGCCAATGTTAATAAAAAGACTTATTCCTTATAAGAGACTAGCATGGTGCTAAGGCACCACCATGTTCCCAGGTACCCACTGATCCCAGGTGATAACAGAGTTCACAATCATTCACTTGAACTACCAGTTTGGGCTTCTTTCTCTTAATATTTTCTAGAAAGAAAGTTTTTCCCAAAACATCTTTCATATCTCACTTCATTGTTTCATTTTTCAGTTGTCACAACAGAAGTTAGTAGGAATGAACTAAACAAATATAGTAATAAAAACACTTAATAATGTCTTGACATCAAAAATCACAAATCATGAAATTTAAAAACTGATAAACTGGACTTGAAGCTAAAAAACTTTTCAATTCAAAAGATTCCAATAAGAAAATGAAAAGACAGACCACAGACAGTAAGAAACTACTTTGTAAATCATATCTGATGAAGGACTTATATCTGGAATACATAAAGAACTCCTACAACCAAATAATAAGTAGAAAAGTAAATTCAAAAAATGGAAAATAATTTAATAGATATTTTACCAAAGAAGCAGTAAGAATGGCCAATAAGCCCTTGAAATCATTTTTCATTAGGGAATGTGAAGTAGAACCACAATGAGATACCATTACACATTCATTAAAATGACTAAAATAAAAAGACAATATCAAATGCTGATGAGGATGTGGAGAAACCAGACCACATACATTTCTGGTGAAAATTGGCATAGCCACCTTGGGTAACAAATTGGCAGTTTATTAAAAATTACACACATACATGATGTAAGACCCAGCAATTCCACTTCTAGAAATCTAAGAGAAATAAAAACAAATGTTCACAAAAGACTTGCACACTAATAGTCGCAGCAGTATTATTCGTAATAGCCAAATAATGGAAAGAATCCAAATGTCCATTCTTTTAACATGGACAGGTAAATGTGGCATGTCCACACAATGGAATATTCAGCAATAAAGTGGAATGAACTACTGACAGGTGCTACAGTGTGGATGGACTTCAAAACATTATGTAAAGTGAAAGAATCTATAAACAAAAGACAACATATTATGTGATTACATTCATATGAAGTATCCAGAAAATGCAAGACAGCCTATCAGTGATTGCTCAGATTGAGGCTTACTACCAATATGCTTGGAGAAATTTGGGGGTTGGTTGAATTTTTCCAAAACTCAATTGCAGTGTTTGTGGCACAACTCTATACATTTTTTCAAAATCATTCCATTATATACTATAGTGAGTGAATTTTAGTGCATGTACAATATACCCAAGTAAAGTTAACATAATAATGCCTTATATTACTATACTTTTTATTTTTCAGCTGTAAAAGAAAATGTTTAAATCCAAACAACATACTGAGGCTAAACATGTGACATCACTGTGTCCACTACTCAGAAATAAGAAATGTTGACATGCTTTATATTTCTCCAGCTGCTTCCATATGCATTATACCTAATCTACTCCAATTCTGCAAGGGAAGTAGAATTGTTATCATCCAAATATTTCATAAGTAGAAGCAGGCAGAAATTGCAAAATAATGAACTTCAAATATAATTAAAAGTCAATATATTAAAATTAGAACATTATTTATAAAATTCTAATTTGGCATCATTCTACTTGTCTAAATTTTAGCAAGTTTAAAATTGACAAGCCTATCAGAATTCATTTCTTCCCATAATTCACAGGTAATTCCAAAGACTTAAAGGCAATTTAAGTTTATTCTTTTTGACAAAATGTCTGATGGCAGTCAGAATCTTAGATTCCTCCTTTTATAAGTAATCTTAGTGGCAGCTTTGATAATATCATGTACGCTTTCTGTTCCTGTTTCCTTCCTCTTATAAAAAAAAAAAGAGGAAAACATGTCTTTCCTTCTTCACAAGATTGTGACAGGCATACAGCCAAATTATACTCATATCCTATAAATCTGTAACTAAAGTTTTAAAGTTGTAATAAATCATATGTAAAACTTCACTTCATGGTTATTGAAAAAGCCCCTCAAAACTGCTGAGAATGTTATTCAAGCTGAACTACATGAGCCATTACCAGCTGATAACAGGCATCCCTATCCTCAAAGAACTCATGACCCAGAGGTGGAAAACAAATCATTTAAATGTAATATGATCAGCTCCCCCTTTTTTCTTCACTTAATACATTTAAAGGTTATATTAGGACACATTCTTTCTGGTAAAAGTTTCTACACATTTAAATGGTTTTAGCTCTGCCAAACAAAAGTGCTACATCCCAATTTGGTATGACTTAGAGTATCACTCTCCCCCAGGAAAGTGATCTTGCAATGCTTTAAGACATTCTGGTTTGGGCAGAAGACACACCAAGTTGTTTGCAATAAGCACCTTAATTAGCTGCCCAAAGAAACATTCAGTTGTCTGATGACAACTGCCTTGGGTGACAACGAGTTACATCTATAAAACAAAACCTGCAGCTTTGAAAGTCACCGTTTACTTATTTATATGTAAAATTGGAAGGCTTGATTCAAGAGAAAAACAGCAACTCTAGTCATCAATGAAATTTTCTAATGAAAAGTTTGCTCCCAGCTTGGATGGGTGAACCAAATACATTTCACAGCTGCTCCAATTAAATAAGGATAACTTAAGTAAACAACAGCTCTTGCATATGATCTCAATAAAAACAACAGTGTCTTGTGGATTCATGCTTGGGACTGACTCAACTACAAGGTTATTCCTCCGAGAAACAGCATATACCACAATGGTATTCCTTAAAATACTCTCAAATCTGCCTTCTTTCTCACCTCTGAAATATCAGGAAATGCCTGCAATCTGTAAAAAAAAAAAAAAAGTTCCACCCAGACACTATTGCTTGAACACTGGTCAACAATGTGCAGTTTTTAAATGATAAACTGCATTTCCTTTTACCAGCCAAATACTAAGAACATCTGTTGGCTGAGCTTAGTGGATTGGAAGAGAACATGGGCTCACCACTGCAGAGGCAAGTTTGCATCCATCCCTGAGATCCACCCACTGCCCAACACTGCTTGTTCCTAATAGACTTTTGAATAGAAAGTGCTGGGCTTTCTCTCTGAACAGGGAGTAACCCCAAGTAAGGTTATAATCAATGACAACAATGGAATAACGGCTATTCTGTATGGCTGTTAATCTGAAAAGAATGTAAAACCTTTAAGAAATACAGGAGTCTCTACATTCATTTTTGAAACTGAGCCATTACTGAGGCAGAAGAGAGGAACTCATCAAACCCTACAGATGTACTCTGCAAACAAATAATACCCTAAACTCAAAACAGACCTTTAATGAGATATTTGAGTCTGGAAGCTTAGAAAAAACGTTATTCTGAGACTTAGAAGTGAAAAGAACTAATGTTTAGTCCTGCACGGTTATTTGGCCCACGGTTAGAGAGTACGTGTGTCATCTCCTCTTTCATGGAGCCACTGAGGTGGAGGGGCATCACTAAGCTCTATTTGTTGAGTATGGAACGCTGCAGGTAAAGGAATTAGGAGAGGGGCCCAATAATTAAGAACATATATGCAAGGAAATATAGTGATTCTCAGGACAGTCTGTTACTGGAAAGCTGCAGAAAAATTTAACTTTCATTCCCCTATTTTGAGAAAGTAAACAGATTTGAGAGTTTCTACAAGGCCTCAGATTAGCTATAATTTCATTACTCTAAATGGGTTTCCAAAAGGTGGAACAAATAACCGTAATAAAACTACTATTAGGCTGGGCATGGAGTAGGTTAGGCCTGTGCACATAATTCCAACACTTTGGGAGGTTGAAGCAGAAGGATTGTTTGAGACCAGGAATTTGAGACCAGCCTGGGCAACATAGCAAGATCTCACCTCTACAAAAAATAAAAAATTAGCCAGGTGCCGTGACACATGCCTATAGTCCTAGCTACTCAGAAGGCTGAGGTGGGATGACTCCTTGAGCCCAGGAATTCAAGGTTAGAGTGAGTTACGATGGTGCTACTGCACTCTAGCCTGGACCCCACAGTGAGACTCTGTCTCAAAAATAAATAAATAATCTACTCTTCTTTGCAGGATCTAGAACTTCCCCAGTCCCGTTAATCCATCAGAGCCAGGTGGGGCCAGGCTATTCACATAGGTATCTCTTGGCTTATCTGTGGCTCTTAATGCTATTAAGACCACCGCTCCACCACCGCATTTTCCAGTATTCTCATAGTGAAGAGGCCTTCAGATATCATTCAAACTCTAAATTACTAATACAAGTGATTTATTCACTGTAAGATTTTCCTAGGAGAATTTGATGCACAGCTTCAAGTTTCCTCAAGTTTATACATAATCACTAACGTGGTAGTGTCTCAGAAGTGTACAGGATGTACATGCTTTCAAGGCCCAGAATAAATTCTGTGTATCATACTTTCTAACCACAGCAGGATGGGGTATAAAACTTCCCAAGGGCATTTCAGGCAGAGTTTAACACTGGCTGTTCGAATGCTTATTGTCTCAAATATGGCAATGAATACTGCATTCATAGAAGTGATGCAAACATGCTACTTTGCTTTAAGAACAGGTCACTTGCTTTTAACCAGATTCCAAAATCACTAAATTTGCTGGATGAAACACAGAATTCAATCCACTGATCAGTATTTTCTTGCAACCGTTATGAAAGAAACACACTGTCTTGAGAAGGATTGGCTATATCTACATAAGAGGTCTATAAATTTCTGAAAACCTTTGCTCCCATCCTCAGGGTGATGAATTATCTTAGCAACCATTATATTATGCTAGCTCTGCGGAGGTTTTTGAAATAAGATCACATGGTTCAACACTAGTTTCCAGTGTTTTCCTAGGAACATAATTACTTGAAATGATCCATTAAGAAGAATCATGTGGTCAAGTATGTGTGGGAAACACCATAGTCACCAGCTCTATATTCACAAAGCACAATAGCATATTCAAGGCTCTGAGAAGACTTGCAGTGAAGAACCCTGTTTATCCATCTAACCTAGCATTTTGCATATTTAGTAGCCATAGAAGCCTTTTCTCATATCTCTCTCATAAGATTATAGCCTATAGCCCAAGTGTCCCTAAAACACATACTTCCCCAACTGCTGCTGCTTTAATCCATGAGATTTCTCTATTATTTAAATAATTGAATAGATTATGAATAATAATAAAGATTATTCAGAGGTTTGTTTGTAACTAGCTGGCTTATTTGTCTCCCATACCTTGAATGCCAGCTCCTCGTGGGGGAGGATTACAACTTCCTCACTTTTGTTTTTTTCTTTGAGAAGGAATCTTGCTCTGTCGCCAGGCTGGAGTGCAACGGCGTGATCTCAGCTCACTGCAACTCTGCCTCCCAGGTTCAAGCGATTCTCCTGCATCAGCCTTCTGAGTAGCTGGAACTATAGGCGCCTGCCACCATGCCTGGCTAATTTTTGTATTTTTAGTAGAGAGGAGGTTTCACCATGTTGGCCAGGCTGGTCTCGAACTCCTGACCTCAGGTGATCTGCCCACCTCGGCCTCCCAAAGTGCTGGGATTACAGGTAGGAGCCACCACACCGTGCCTACGTCTTCCTCAATTTTGCATTCCGATGACCTAGGAGATGTTCAGTAAATGTGTAATGACTGAATAAGTATCTTCTATATTCCCAACATCAGAAGTGTTTTGTGCTGAATGGTATCCTCCCCAAATTATATGTTGAATCCTAAGCGCCAATACCTCAGAAAGTGACTTTATTTGTAATTAACATTAAAACAAAGTCACTAGGGTATAGTCTAATCTGCTTATAAATAGGAAATCTGGACACAGATACACACAGAGGGACAATGATGCAAAGACACAGCAGGAGAAGATGGTCATGTGATTGACACCAAAGAACCAAGAATTGCAGCAAACACCAGCAGCTGAACAAGGCAAGGAAGGATTCTCGCCTGTCAGAGAGAACACGACTCTGCCAACACCCAGATTTCAGACTTCCAGCCTCCAGGACATAGGTTTCTGTTGTCTTAAGCCACCTAGTTGTACGCACTTTATTATAACAGGCCTAGGAAACGTTTACAAATAGTACATCTGCACATGCTTTATATCTGTTTTTATATGCTGGCTTAATATAACGAAATGGGTTAGCAGTAAGTTGTTTTTTTTCTGAAACAAGGTCTTGCTCTGTCTCCCAGGCTGTAGTACAGTTGCACTATTACAGCTGACTGTAGCCTCAAACTCCTGCTGCACAGGCTGATCTCCAACTCCTGACCTGAAGCAATCCTCCTACCTCAGCCTCCCAAAGTGTTGGGATTATAGGTGTGAGCCACTGCACCCAGCCAATAAGTTGTTTTCTTTAATGGCATCTTTCATAATAGGGTCATCTATGTATTGTTTTACAAGTTGAATTTTGAGTTTCATTCAGCAAATCCATATCCTTTGGATAAAATCTAGACTCAAAATGATAATCAAAGGAAAAATAGATCGATGTCTAATGAGCATTACTCTGAAATGAAAAATCTCTACAGAGATGATCTCATGGCACTTTAATTGAATATACTATACCTGATACTCTCATTTGGAAAATTTATGTACAAGAATTATTTTTCTTTTTACATATTGCAATGGACATTTCAGAAGGCTGATAGAATTGTCACTCTCTGAAGTTCTAGGTTAAGATCAGCTTGTGTTAAGCCAACCTCAATATGGACATGAAAGTAATACAATTATATATTTGCAACTAAAACTGTCCATATGTTTTTTAAGGAGATATGACTTCATATCAATTGTGTTCCTTTCACTTTAATGCACACAGTGAAATTCCTCACAGGAGGAACTAAGGGCTAAGGCCATTCAGGAGCCAGCATATGTACTACAGCTGATGAGTCCATGCATCCAGGCAAAAAAGGTAAGTCTAAAATTCAGAAATAAAAAAGCTTATAAGGAAAAATACTTCCTGAATTTGTTACCTTTCCGTGTATTTGCGTATGGACAACAAGTGCATCACTCGTCATACCTCAGAAATGGTGATCTCCAATCTTAGGGAAGACACCAGTAAATAGGGGCTCTGCTAGTTATGGCTTAGAACCCAGATGACTTAGCGCTCAAACCATGGTGGCCAGGAAAGGGTCAGAAGCCATGGAGAAAGCACACATCTGGGTGAAAAATGTAAAGGGCAGTTTTCTTCTATTCTCAACAATACATTGTACAAATATCTAAGTTCACTATTCACTGTCCAAAGAGATTCTTTTTTTCTTCCAGTAATTCAATAAAACCAATTTTCAACTAATATTCATGCCCTGGCATCTTTAAATTATAATTTCTAATACACCAATTTAATAATACTTAATAGAAAATAATATTGGTATATTTCTAATATAGCAATTTAATATTAATACCATACCAACATATTAACAAAATAAATTTTAGTAATATTGTGTGAAGGTACTATATATGCACACATCCTGATATATCATTTTATCTTATTAAAATCTACTATCAAACCATGCAATCCTTGTTGATTGCCCAAAATTCTTCATGTGATAGGAAAAAAATTTTTTTTATCATGAACCATTTTTTAACATAAACCAGTTATTAAACATTTATCCATAAGAAATAACAGTGAAGAATTATTTATTACATGACAAACTGGTCAAGACTGTCTTAGTATTTACTCCATATCTTCACATTGAATGACTAGGAGATGAGTGGATTTGTTCTACAGTGTCTGTTCCAAGAAGAGTATGTATTTTAGGGTCCCCATTTGTATTCATGTTTATATATCAAAAGAATTCCTTTTATCAAGGGGTCTGATCAGTCTAAACCCATAGGGCCTGTCAATAGTTTAACCATATTAAGATAGAAACTGATTACTTTGTAAGTGTTTGGAAGTCATCAACGGTGTGTATATATAGCCAATCCTGATGCACTATGGCTGAGCACAACCTGTATTGGAAAATATTACAATGAAGAATAAAATTCCAGTACTCCAGATTCAACATCTCATTATTCATTAATTAGGGATTCATATCTAATGTCTAGGCACCACACTAAAAATGCACTAGTGATAATCAAACACTATGGCTTGTAAGTGGTAGGTATTTAAAACCTAGTTCTAAAAAGCAATCCGGTTTAGTCACCAGCATTGCAATTACCTTATAACCTTGGGCTCAAAAACTAGATTTTGCAATAACTCATTTTGCTTAAAAGCCAAGAAATCTCAATCTACTTCTCTAATATAAACTACATTTGAAAATACTATAAGAATAAGTGCCAAAATACTTTAAATTCCATGCAACTATTGGCTCTTCAGGATATTACCACTTCAGACAAAATGAGGAATGTCTGAGTACTGAGAAATCCTAGCAATCTTTGATGTTCCATATCAGACTGGGAAATGCTAGACTGTCTCCTCTGCAAACATCAAGCTGCATGCCCTGGAACAATGCCAAAGAGAAACAGGCATTAATGAGTTATTTTCTATTGTTACTCATTCTATAGCAGTGCCTTATAATTATGCAAACTACTGAAGGGACAATTTAAAATCTAATCAGGATTAGAAAAAAATCCTTACATTATCACATTTTTTATAAGCTACTTTTGTTTTAGTATGTACTTAGCTAAGCTCATTCAGAATATGCCCCTCCTATAATAAATCAATTTGAATTTATTTTATCTTTCGTGTTCTTTTACACAGTGCAAAAAAATGAATAACAAACTGATCTCCCCCAAGAAGATTAAGTCAGACTTAATCTACAATATAACAATTTATATTATATTGGGGGATGGAGAGAAACTGAGTCAATATGACTTTTTTAAGGCTGCATTTTTCATATGTACTATAACCATTTGAATCCTTGCAAAATAGTAAACTAACTTGTTATGAATCCTAACATAGAACACTGGGTTGTGCAATATAAAAGTGCCAGAACAATCAATTCTAGACCAAACTGACATACTGAATCAAATTCAGAATACACGGGCTTTTAAATTGATTTTAAATTATGTGCCTGGCAAAACTCCAAAACTACCACACTATCAGATATTGAGCCCCTTCCACCAAATTGGTTTTTGTATCCCAGAATTAGGGTACTGAGCCACAAGGCAATACATTCCCTATCATAAATATTGACATAAATGCTTTGGAAAAGCAATATCTGCTCATAATAAAAATTTCAGACTACAGAGAAAGAGAAAAAAGGAAAGTTCTCTCAGATCTCATTTCTACTTCTCAGGTTGATCCATTTAATAATTTATTGCAAATTCTTTTATACATTGTACAAAGAAGAGCATCCTGCATTTTTTCCCCACTTAATGGGTCTTGGACATCTTCCCAAGGATATCTATGTCATCCTTTGTAATGTCTACACATTTCATTATATGGATTTACCATAATTTAATCAGCTCCTAATTTATGAGCATTTCAGTTGTCTGCAGTTTTGGATTTTATGAAATAATTTTATCTGAGCACCGTTGTTCCTATTTCTTAGGAATTTATCCTTTGGCTGCACAAGTATACAATTGGTAGTACTGCTGTGTCAAGACTGCCAAATTGTCCTCCATAAAACTTGTTCTGATTAATGCTTCTACCAACCACTGGCATGTGAAATTCCTATTTCCCCACACCCTTATCACTCAGGAGAAAGGGTGGATAACTAATATATGTGGGCCCAACTCCATGTAAACATCTTAAAACATGTTGTTTTATTTACTCCTCTCAATACAATCCTAGGGCTTTCCTGTTATCCTCATTTTAACAGATGAAGAAACTGAAGTTTGGAAAAGTTGAGTTGAGGAAAAAACAAGATTAAAAACTGGGGTGTCCAGTTCCTACATTCATTTTCTTCTGAGTTTACTAGCTCCCATATGAATTAACATAATTAAATGAGTTCTTAATTAAAATGCTGGAACTTGCCCCACCAGCTCTGTTGGGAGGTTTCACTGAACAAGTCACGCAGTAGATGACTAAGAAACAATAGTAGTTTCAGAATTTCTATTTAGATTCAGGAAGGCGTGGCTCATGCTTGTAATCCCAGCACTTTGGGAGGCTGAGGCAGGTGAATCACTTGAGGCCAGGAATTCGAGACCAGCCTGGTCAACATGATGAAACCCCTTTTCTACTAAAAATATGAAAATTGGCCAGACAGCACCTACCATTCCTGCTACCCAGGAGACTGAGGCACAAGAATTACTTGAACCCGGGAGGTGGAGGTTGCAGTGAGCCAAGATCGCACCACTGCACTCCAGCCTTGGGGACAGAGCAAGACTCCACCTCAAAAAAAAAAAAAAAAAAAAAAGTATTTCTATTTACAAGGTACCTAGAACCAATATTCTGATTTCGTTAGTCTTAAAAATGGGAGTAGAAACAGTGGAGACCAAGCTAGGAGATAGTACAAGAAAAAATTTTGTGTTTTGTCTTCTTTCAAAAAATCTAGTCACCACACTTAGGGGCAAATGACTCCTAAGCACTTGCCCTTTGCACTCCTGTACCAGGAGACCTCAACTCCTACCCTCCCCAACCTATGATAATGAAACTGGTAGGTACAGCACTACCTCAGCATCTTGTGATTGTTCTGTTGTCCAAGGACTGCAAGGTTCTAGATCTCCTGGACACCAGGAGTCAATAGTTATTTTAAGGTCCCATATTACATAGACAAGTGCTATAATTTGAAATTTGTTTTTGACCAATTGCTCTCAATCTTCTAATCCTTCTCTCATCAAATTTCAATCAAATTTCAATTTTCTAATCCTTCTCTCATCAAAAAATAAATTTTAGGATATCTTAATACATATCTAAGCAATTTTCTAAAAGTAGATTTAAATAATAAAACGAAATGAATAAAAAGGAAAAATGGTCAGGAAATTAGTAGAGGAGAAAATAAAAAACAAATAACCCAGAATCTCGGTCTTGATTATTTATCTACTTACAGTTGAACTTTTTCCAGAAAGGAGTTGAGGCAGATATATGAGTATTTAGGAAACTGGATTTTAAATAGCTAACTAAAAAATCCTACTTAATGTACTTAGAGATTCACAAAAAAATAAAAAGCAGTAAAGAAGTAAAAAGAAAATGGACCAAGGAGTCAGACACCTGGTTTTAAATGTTTTTCCACCTAAACACCTTCAAGTTTTAAAGAGGCAATGTAGCTTATACATTGCTTGCCTTCAGTAAATGCTCTTCCTCAGCTACTTTAATTCTATAAATATTTGCTAAGCACTTGCTATGTGCCAGATAACATTCTAGGTTCTGAGGGGTACAATGTAATGGCCAATGGCTACATGCAGCTACTAAATACTTGAAATGTAGCCAATGAGAAATGAGATCTGTTTTAAGTATAAAAACATTAAATTTCAAAGTCTCAAAAAATGCAAAATGTCTTATGATTATTTTATATCAATTGTATGCTGAAATTATATAGAGAGTTAAATAAAATACATTAAAATTAGTTCCACTTTTACATGTCTACAAGAAAATTTAAAATTACATATTTGGCTTGCATTCTACTTCTACTGAACAGCATGGTTCTGGATTCATGTTTCCCAAAATTTTCTGCGCACAGAAGTCACATGGGATCTTGCTAAAATAAAGATTCATAATTCCACACATCTCGGGAAAGCCTGAGGTACCTCATTTCTAACAAGTTCTCAGGTGATCCTGATACAACGGGTCTGCAGACCTCACTGTGAGTAAGTGAGGCTCTGGACTTGTCCTATTCAAAAGTAGTTACTCCTGCCAGTGCTGGTCCAAAGGGAGACAGGTAAGAATGGAGGAAACAGGGTAAGCATTTAGAAACTATTACAGTACGTTAACATTGTTACAACACCCAACTACATGACCACTGGACACATGTTGAACAGGATACAGGCCAGTGTGAATGTTGTCAGACTTAACGTGGTACAAGCTAAAATTAGTCATCACTAGTGGCCTGTTATGACAGATTAGAATTTTAAAATTTAATCTTTGTCCACAGTAGTTTCAGAAGCACTACTCTAGAGTGTAGACAATCCTGGTCAAAGAAGGTTCACAGAATACCAGAGTATGTCATATTAGGAAATATGAAAATTTCCTGATGTAAACATTTTAAAAACACTAGATGAAACAAAATTAAATTGACTTCTTTACTGCAGTACTGGTCAGAGCCTTCAATATGCTCATGTGCCTTTGTATGTCCAAGAGAAAACAGTATACAGCATTTCCCAAGTGTTTTTGGTATCAAACCCTTCACCGTACACCACCACCATTACCACATCTCAGGGAATGGTGTTTGTCACATACCGTGTATGAAATTGCTCTCTTAAATGATTTCAGGTATCTTGCTTTTTCAGCTATTTGAGAAACATTGATCAATTACTAATTGAAATTAACCTGTGATACGTTAATTGCCATGACCCTGAATAGTTCAAGAAATTTTCATTTGCAAAATGTTATTTATGCTCTAAGATGAGATTTGATCTATTAAAAGCAGAATGGCTTTCTGCATTTAAATTTATCACTATGAAACATAATTGTTTTTTTCTTTTTTTTTCTCTCTTTTTTTTTTTTTTTTTGAGATGGAGTTTTGCTCTGTCGCCCAGGCTGGAGTGCAGTGGCGCGATCTTGGCTCACTGCAAGCTCTGCCTCCCGGGTTCACGCCATTCTCCTACCTCAGCTTCTGGAGTAGCTGGGACTACAGGCGCCCGCCACCACGCCCGGCTAATTTTTTTGTATTTTTAATAGAGACGGGGTTTCACCGCATTAGCCAGGATGGTCTCGTCCTGACCTCGTGATCTGCCCGCCATAATTGTTAAAAACACACACACACCAACATGATACTACAGTATTGTAGGGTCTTAGCATATTATCATTTATTATTTTATTATAAGGCTAATTTAGAATTTAATTTAGATAACATATTTGCAATTGCAGAATCTCTCCTTCTCACCCACTAATGAAATCCATAATGAAATACTACCACCCCAATTGGTATACAAAGTTTTGAATTAGCCTAAGTTCTCTTTTTATAAAATCAAACTTTCTTACTTTGTAAACAATTAGAGACTAATATATAAGTTGTGCCTAAATCAGTAGGATGTGATATATCTGTTCAATTCCTTATCAAATTTTACCTCCATGTCTTAAGGACTCTGAGAACATAGAATGAAGCTGAAGACCACAGATAAAACATTGAAAGCATAATGGATATTATGTAAACTATTTATATGATGGTTACACTAAAAGCCCAGATTTAACCACTATGCAATATATATGTAACAAAACTGCACTTGTACCCGTTAAATGTATACAAAAAAAAAGAAACATGCTCTAACAATAATAAACTAAAGATAGCCTTCAACATCTTTTGTTTTAACTACCACTGGCAGCAGGAACATCTTTGGCCAAATAAATAAATAAATTGTGTGAATCTTGCCAAATTAACTTAAAATATTCACGTTCATTTTGCTAGGTCAATAAAAGTAATAGTCTTGTTTGTTTTTCCTGGTGCTTTAGGATATGACTGATAATAGCTGCAGCAAGTTCACTATAGTTATGAGGTTTACAAGAACATAGAATGTTATTTCACCAATACTGTACATGCTTAGGACCTAGGACAGTACTTGGCAAATAGTAAGTCTTCAACAAAACATGTTTTGATAAATATGCAGGGCTGTTATATGAACGTCAACACTGTAATATGAATTGAGCATCTATTTGTTGTAGAAAGATTAGAAAAGACACAAAATATAAAGACAAAAACAAAAATACTCATAATCCTCACAGGTTACCTTTAACATCCATTTGCACCTTGGTATATAAAAAAGACACTTATTTTTTTCAGTAAACATGAAACCATACTCCATAATGCATTTTTTGCTAAGGTTCTGAGTAATAAATAAAAATACACAGCTTCATTATAAATGACTACATAGTCACTTACAAATATATAAAACTTAGGAAATGTTCTACTATTGAAAACTTAAGTAATATACTCCTTCTCCCCTCTTATATTGCCTTTTGTCTGGAAAGAAATACTCCTTTGGTCCAATCTTCATGCATATCCCTAATAGTTTTTTGTTTTCCTTTTTGTTTGTTGGTTGGTTTTAGGTAATATTCCCGAAAGGACAAAATTTCAGTCTTTGTTATGAATTTCCAAACTATTTTTCAAAAAAGCTCTAACTGAAACTCAGAGGCTATGACTCAAGAATTCCACTTTCATCACCTTCTACCTCAACCTCAACAAATGGCATCCATCAAATAACAACATGGCTGTGACAACCACTACAAGAGACTTAAAAACCTAATGTTTCTTTCAGGAAACCAACCATATAAGACTACTATAAAACAAAGATGTGTCCTTAAGCACACAGGAGGTGAAAAATCCCAGAGCTCATATAGTGTGAAAAACTTGAGTAGAGGAAAGGATTATATTGGGTAAAATGTGGGTTTTAAAATTTGTTCCGCCAATGAGACTATTAAGATAATAATACAGTGAAACATTACGCATTTATCTCACGTGGAGTCCAGTTCTACATAACGTTTGAAGGAGTAGAGGTCAGGTGCTTAGGAGTAAAGGGCAGTATTTTCTGAGATGGAGGGAGTCCACATGACCACATGTGGGTAATATTCTCAGCATGGAATATTAGAAGATATTCTCAAGAAAATTTTAAAATTAGAATTCAGATAAATTTAAAAAACAGTCATATCATATTAAGTTAATGGGCAACATCAATCTTAACCCCTTAAACAAAAGGGTGCAAGCATCTAGAAAGTTCAGGAGGAAAAGGATCTTCAAAATTTTAAGTCATAAATGTATGCAATAGATGTTGAGCTAATTCATGTCAATGGACAAGATAGCTCTTTAGAGCATGATACACAAATTTCCATCTATTCATATGTTTATTTCATGGTCTCTACCATACCTCATGTAAGTCATCTCCTAGTAACAGTAGCATTAGCTTCTCTCTCACCTTCCACCCCAACTAAATTACTAGCAAGCAGTTACTTCTGATTTATCAGATCTTTCTAACGGTCCCAAGAGCGTAGGTCACACTTGTTAAGGATACCACCATTAGCTAATTTGGAGGCCACCAAGGTCTTAAAGGGTCTAAGAGAAATGAGATAAGTTTAGGAAATGGGATTCAGTGAGAGGTTGGTGGTATTATCCGACTTGAGCCCAAATGAAGGCAGGAAAAGGCGGCAGTTGGCAAGATTGTTTTTTTTTTTTTTTGATTTTTTTTAAGCCTAATAATCTTTTCTGTAAGAGCCATGGCCTCTACCCATAAGAGAATGCATCAGCCCTTATGAAAACACTGCCAAGGGCTTCCAGCGGCTCAGTCTCTGAAATACCCGTAAGTGGGTATTTCAATACATGAGGACCCTTGTATTGTTGACATCTGCAGGAGGTACAAAAGTGGCCAATATCAAAAATTTGGGGAAAATTATAGAGGAATAAGAATGACAGGAAAATAATCTGATAATGTCCTCTTTTACATAAATATTTAAATCACCACCAGATTCAAATACTGAGTTTTCATTTAAATGGTGTATAAAAGTCCATGATTACAAATTCTTCAAGCATTTTTAAAAACACATAACATGTTTATTTTCCTTTCACTGTAATTGCGCTTTCATAAAAAACTGTTGGACCGCCTCTCTATCTTAATAAAAATTCCCAGCCACATGGTTATAATCAAGAGTCAAATTGCTAATAACAAGAAAATCAATGAAATTAGAGGGTGGGGTCCATTTGATACCCATACCTACCTCAATCCATTTTTCCAGTTTAAACAAACAAATAAAAAATACTTTAAGCACTCTTGTTCCTTGACTGATTTATTTAGGACAGCTATCCATGTTTTCACTTTCCTTCAAATCCCTCTCCCCTTCCCCCCACCAACACATGCAGAACTGGAAAAAAATAAAAATAAAAAATAAATAAACTATCTTCTGATCCCATAATCTGGAAGTGAGATATAAACTGTTGTGTTTGTCATAAAAACTGTGCCAAATTCCATACAGCTCACACTCATTGTATAACTTTAATGAGTCTTTTCTTAACTTTGTTTTTCTAAAAAAAAAAATTTAAAAAGAAAGGAATATATGTTGTGTTGCCTTTAATAGAGATTAATTTGGCTCTTAAGTCATTATGAAATTTTTAAAATCTTTCCTGACATTTAATAAAACAAGTTCTTATGAGAAAAATGTAAAGAGTTTAAATCCAAAATGTTGACAGTGAGTATAAGGAAAGAGACTAAATTCCAGTCTGTTTGTTAAGCAGAGTTTAAAGTCTTACTTTGGAGATTTGAGCTTCAACCTAGATACACTGTTCTTGATAATAAAAACATATTTTATTTTGTTATTCTACTACAGCTTCCTTTTTGCTTTCGACCATACTCAATAGCATAAAGAAGTCAGGTTAAAAACCCTTGTTTTAATAGTAATCTTTTCCTCCACATTCCAAGCTGGATTCATGAATTCAATAAATACTTACTGAGCACTTCCTCTGTACCAAGCACTAGTCTGAGAACTACAGGTACTGTACAGACCAGAAGTGACAAGTTATCTCTGTTCATACAGGATGTTCATTCTTTGTACTAAATGTTGCTTGAAAACTACTATATGTTGATTGCAACTAAACACCACATTGAACCAAACAAGTATATAACAATGAATAAAACACAATCCACACTCAAAAAGTTGAAATGTACTTGTTTTTTCCTGTTTATTGTTGTTTTTCTTGATTTTACTTTTACAGAAAGTGATTTACTTGTATAGAAAGTGAATCCTAGGATTCCTAGACCCTAATTAGACTGTCTCAAATAATAATATCATACCAAGTAATAATTTAAGTACCAAATATCAAGAATTTCCATTCATTTTTTTTATTTTTATGTGTTCCTATCTCAAAACTATACAAGATTTGCAACTTACCAGTGATAATGTTAAATAACTTTGACTCAATTTAGAGCTGTTAATTTCTAGAGGACTCACCTGAATCTTTGATCAATTTTGTCAATACCTCCTCCCATCCATCCCTTTAACACTCCTTCCCACATTCTCCATCTATAGGCTAGACCATTTTCTCACATCTGCATTTCAATTTAATGATACCTTGCCTTGAATTGCCTTCTCTACTAAGGCCCAAAGTATATTTTCTTTGACTCCTACTTAGAAGGCACATTAAAAGATAAGCTTCAATTCGATTACAGATTCAAAATTATCCAAAGAGGGATTTCATTTAATTACATTTTTTTGAGTGTAAAAAAATGGTTTCTCTAGCAAGATGAAATGAAAGAAAGGCTCCAAGCAAAGTTACACATAATAGTGTTAGAAAGGTTTTATCATGTAAGTGATAATTAAGTCATCTCTACTTGTACTATCACAGAATAACATCCAAAAGGATTGCATATGCAAAATACAACAATGAAAACAATTATAAAATTTGAATGCATTATTTACATACAGAAAAATAAACAAGATAAAGGCATGCTGGTATTAATCAGCTATTATTTTTAGCCAGGCGTGGTGGCTCACCCCTGTAATCCCAACACTTTGGGAGGCTGAGGTGAGTGGATCACCTGAGGTCACGAGTTTGAGACCAGCCTGGCCAACATAGAGAAACCCCATCTCTACTAAAAATACAAAAATTAGCCAGGCATGGTGGCGCTTGCTTGTAATCCCAGCTACTCGGGAAGCTGGAGCAGGAGAATCGCTTGAACCCGGGAGGCGGAGGTTGCAGTGAGCTGAGATTGCCCTGCTGCACTCCAGCTTGGGTGACAAAGCAAGACTCTGTTTTTACAAAAAATGCTATTATTTTTATGTTAATATCATAACACTTTAAAATAGCTGAAGAAAGCAGGAAAGTTTTTCTCCGAAATTTTGACTAACCAAGAGTATGATTATACAGAAGCCCACTGTATTTTATGCTGGTACATGGGAGATAATTAACTCTTACTCACAGTGAGAGTCAAAATACATCATTAATTTTATTATAAAAGCAAATTACATATGTATAAATGCATGTGTATCTTTAATCACAAATATGTACCTTTACATCATGGAATTGTGAGAGTTTGAAATTCTGGGTCTGAATGCACAAAGAAAAATTCTGCAAATAGACCATCTAGACTACTGCAAATAGACTCTCCTAGAAGTCCAAACAATACGCAATCATGACACAATGGTCTTAGTTTGCAGATGTGAACATGTCTTTATTAAAAGGGTTATTCCTCAAGACGGGTGCAACAACACCAATTACTCTCTATTCCTGAACCTCCATATGCACAATGAGGGGATCAGGACTTGAAACAGTGCCATAGTATAAAAGGGAAATGAGAGAGGAGAAGAAATGGGCTTTGGATTAATGAGCTGGCATACACACCACGGCCTTAATGGGCAGCGCTGACAGGGTTCAATTATAGCAGAGTGTGCAGCCTCATTACTGCCAGGGGCTGTCACTTAGGGTGCTGGTGCAGAGGAGAATCCAACTGGCTTCAGACAAAGGGAAAGGGAAACATATGAAAACAAAAGATATTTACAGAGTATCTTCAGGAGCAAAGATCCTATCCTCCCACCCCCAAAAAGATATGCGTGTGCGCATGCGCACACAGGCTCTTTGTATTTGCGTAAGGTGAAGTTTTCCTGGGCTTGGCTTGCTATTACACCTACAGGTTTTAGGCACAAACATAAATGAATTAATAACTCGTGTCAAGCCCTTTAAAAAAATAGAACCGTAAATATTACTTCTCCTAAAAAATCCACACCGAAATTTTTCCTCTTATAGTACCATTACTCTGCATTGTCGTACTAACAATTACTGTCTTTTACCACATAATTTTTAATAGCATCCAAGTAAACAGTTTAAAAGAAAGTATTTTGATCCTATGAATAGCTATATGTAAATTTCCCGGGCCATTTAAATTATCTTCATGTCCTGGTGTTTAAATGGAGGGGGAAATACGTTAAGTGGAAATTTGATAAGACCTGACTAATAAAAGTTTCAACAATGTATGGGATAAAGTCTTGCCGCAGAAAATCCACTTGTAAAATGCCTTCCATGAATTCACTTACAAAAGACAAAAGGCTACATCTCTTTCTCATAAAAAGTCCCTTTCTGTGAGCAACTGATTTAAACATTGTGACTGGCATGAACAACAAAAATAATCAGAGGTATTAATGTGAAATAATTGGACATCTACTATACAAATGTAGTCTGAGTTTTTAACACTATGTATATATATATATATGTATTATTTGCTGTGCAGTGTAATCCTATGATAGCTATTTGAAGAGCAAATCATAATGCTTGTTTTTCCTAGAAAAATATCTCCAGGTGAATATCAACGATGCCTCTTTAAATATTAACTGTATTACTTTTCAATTATATATGACCATCAGAGAAAAAAACAATTCAATCTTAGTGGAGATCATTCAGGAAATGCTTTAGTGGCTTTAAAAAAAAAAAAAAGAAAGAAACAAAGAAAGAAACAATAGAAAATTCTGATTACTCAGAAGATGGTTTCTGGCTCCCCTTCCTGAACCCATAATAAACGTGCACAGTTGAGATTGATTTAAGCCTAGGAGTACATGCCCCAAATCAAAAGGAATAATCCATAAATTTGCAGAGCACATATCACTGGGTCAAATGAAGCTAAAATAATAAGAAACATATGAGAAGAAAATATATCAAATGGAAAGATGTTTTTCCAGACCAACCGAACTATCCCTTGGGAAAGACCAATGTGCATTCACATTTTCAAAAGGATTAAAAGTGGCCATTTTTCTTAAAAATTCAAATTAATACTTTTTTATATGGCATAATTATGGTTCTGAATGGAAAACACAATGGAACCAACAAAAAAATGAACCATTCCATTCATTTTTATATTATCACATATGACCTCATTCTAACACTTATAGGTAATTAAAATACAAGCAAAATTAACTTATTTCAACAAAGCACACTTTTACTAGGGATAGTTACACTCTGGTGGTGATTTCCAATTTGAAGTGTGAACTTAAACCAAAGGTCTTCTAGTCATCCTGGTTGTTCACAGTCCAGGAGCTCCTGCTCTCATGTCCCATGCCCTGCATTTGATGGCATCACAAGGAGTGAGGATCAGGGAGGTTGAGCCATCACCTGACTGGTCACAGAAGGCTGGTATAGGTGCTGTCCTCCCAAGTCTAGCTGCAGTCTACTCACACTGCCTCCTCACTTCATCACATCTACCTCTCACCCCAGACTCACCACACTCCAGTTAACCGAATGACTTTGGCAGCCAAGGTAAAGTGTCAAGAAGTTCTAACCATGGGTACTGTAGGGGCCATGCCTACTGTAGGAAGTCCTGCCTTCCCTCTCTGAGGGTTTGCTGAAAAAAAAAAATCAACTCATAACAGCAGATTAAAAGAAAAAAGCATATAAATTTATTGATGTGCATGAGGGAAGATCACAGAGTGATTACCCCACTATGCAATGGGGTACAGGTTATACACCCTTCTTAGGGGAAAAGGGAGATGAGGAAGTCTGGATGATTTTAGGGGCATAGTAAATGATTTTTAGGGGAAGTCAATGGGCTCGAAGAACATACAAAGGCCTGGGACAAAATCTGCTGGGCCCACAGAACCTACAGTGGTTTGTGACAAGTCTATCCAGGAGTGTTTACTGACTTCAGTGTTTCCTCCTGTCATGTGAGTTCAGTTATTGAAAACTCAGGGAAGGGACCAGCAGTAATTGTTTTCTTTTTGGCAGGTCCAGTCTTTAGGCAGATAAGGAAACTTCAAAGAACAACTTCATCCTGTTTTGGGGGCCGGGGAGAACAGAAGATTGAGAGATGGGAATGGGGAATCAAAAAGACCTTGAGGCTTCTTCAGTTCAGCATGTCAATGCACCATAGTTTGAAGTATCTGTTTCCGAGCCCCAATAGCACCTAACAAGATACCCACGAACAGAGTTCTATCATTTAACACCTACTGTGTATGGAGAGGAGCCAGGGATACTTGCTTTGAAGGGTATTCTAGATGGCATTGAATAGCCCTGTGGCATAAATAAAGGCAAGTCACTTAGTCCTGTAAGTTTATAGGTAAAGAAATTAAGGCAATCTTTACATAGTTTAAGTAGCTATAAATACAGAAATAATAAAATGTATGTGCAGCATCTATGTGCAAAGACCTTGGCTATTGGAAAATGTTGGGGTTTCTTCCCCCTCCCCACCCTTTACCGTAATGTATGACTTCATTATGTCCTAAGACCCATAGCACTTTGTGGCTTATGTCCCATCTCAGATCTGCCAAGCTAAGCCACAAGAGTGTAGGATGAGGATTGCCACAGCTTAAGTGCTGGTAACCACTAAAAATATATTGTATATATACCTCTGATCTCACTGACATAATTGGCAGGGACTAAAATACATTGCAGCCCATTTCCTGCCTACAGTGCTAGTAAGTTCAAAGAAAGATCTTGTCTTTTGGGCCTTATTATAGTCCTTAAAAGCCCTATACAATTTTTATTCAAAAGATTTGTTGGTACTAAAACAAATTTTCTTCTCTTCCAAAATTTCAGATGCTATCATGACTAAAAAATTCTTTTTTCCTCCTAAGATATGGAATACAACATGCTAAGCCATAAGTACAGTTACCAATTGGGAGGAAAGGGGAAAGAAGTTGGAGAGAGGGTATATATAAAATGCTACAACCTATTAAATATGTGTATATTATATACTGTAGATTGATTTTAATCATTGTTCTATATTCTTTTGACTTTTTATGAGTGTATTTCTGTTTTTTAGAGGAAAATAAGTAAAATCAATAAAAATTAATGTTAAAATATTTAGTGTTAGTAAAAAAGTTAATTTAAATTTTAGAAATTAAAACATAATTACTGACATTTCTTCAACTGTGAGATGGTTGGGCTTCCCAGTGATTTCCAACAGAATGTGAGTCTAACTGCTCCTCAAATCTCAACTTAGCAAAATCTCATTCTTTTTACTAGTGTTTCCATCTTTAGGCCTGCCTGCATAATCTGTCACTGCCATCTGGAAAGAACACTCACATGCAATACTCACCTGACTTCAGAAATGAATACAGCTAAGCCCAACTTTATAATCATCCCATCAATACAATGCCTTTGCTCTTAGGGAAAGGTTTGATAGGTTTTGCAACCCCAGGAGACTGATTCATCTTCAGACAACAACAATCACTTCCCCAGACTTGACTCAGCTCAAGTCTTCCACCTTACCAGGCTTCCAAGTTTGTGATCTATTTCGATGTTTAATAGCTGCCAGATTCCACAGTACCCAGTGTCTGTTCCACCCATAATCATAAATGAGGTAATCTCATGCACACTTCATAAAACTCGAAGCATCAATGGTGGTTCTAACTATGGCCATCACTCAAGATACCAACCATCCATTCTCTTACCCCACCCTCCCATCATTAAAACAAACAAAAACTCATAACTTCCTTTGATCCTGATCCCTTTGATTTATTTCAGCACCCCAGGCTCATGATCCCTCACTCTTTGTACTCTGTTTTCCAATTTCAATTACTGGCTCCATTCCATTTGAGACTCTTGACCAGCATTCCTCAAATGTTAGCATGCACACCAACAACCTTAAGAGCTGACTAAACTGTAGATTCAGCAGGTCCATGGCACTGCCTCAGATTCTGCATTTCTAACAAGCTCCTAGGTGATGCCTATGCTGAAGGTCTTGCTAATTTGAATACCACATCTCTATAATGACCCTATAGTTTCCTGGACCTTAACATTCCTTGTAGACTTCACTTGTTCTTCCAGTGTAAATATTGCTCTTGCTAATGGTGAGGTGCCCAAACCACTTCCCTCACAGTTATCAATAACATCCTGGTACAAACATAAAGCTATGATTACTTAATACCAAGGCATCCATTCTCCATGGAAAAAATTATTTTAGGTCATAATTCCCCATTTAAAAAACTTATCCTAATCATTATGTATACTTGGGACATTAAAAAAATACTAATTTTCCCAGTTACTTAAATCAAAATAATGTGTGTTAGATATACAAACTAAGATATACAATCCAGATTTGATTGTCATACTATGATGCCATTTATGCCAAACACAGGTCATACATTTTTATTACTGAAATCTACAGGCATGATTAAAGTTTCCTCTAAATTTCCTAGGCCGTAGAACACCTGTTCTTCACACTACAGGAAAGAGATCCATATTACTTTACCCCACAAATGATTCTTCCTCTAATAATGGCATAGGTTGTATAATAAGATAATCTCATGTATGAGCAGACCACATTTCACCCTCACTATCCTCTGAGGACTCTTTTGCATGAACATAAAAAATCAGCTCTTTTCAAAGGATTTAAAGGAGGAGCATGCCAACCAATGTTTAACACAACAGTTAGCAGCTCCGACTGCTCTGAACCCTCTAAGCACACACATAAATAAAGCCAGATTTCATTATGGACCTGACAGCCTTGGATAGCCCTAAATGTTTTATTTTATTTCAATCCCAGACAAAAGCATAGAGGAAGAAAGGGGATACTTATGAAGTAAAAGAATGCAGCATAAAATATAGTTCTAAGAAATAAACAGAAAAATACCACTGAATCAATAAATACCTTCACTGTATTTCTTAATACTTTCTCAAAAATATATGAAAACTGTGTCCAACGTATTGCTCTTGCTCTGTATGTTTTAATTTGAGCCCCTAATTTGGGCCGTATTTTCAGCATTGGCAGTCTGATGACAAATAAACAATTCACATTTTCCAATAAGATGTTTTAAAATGGGTTCTCTTTGCCTGCGACTCTTCTACATCAAATTATGCCTCCCTCATCACATTTTTTTCATGTCTCATGACACTGGTGACTCCTTGTAGTTATAAACAGCTTATTGTAGTTTGCTTCTTGCCAGAATACTTCCACATACTCAGAACCCAGAATAGTCCCTGATTACTGGAATTTGCATTCTAAAACAATCAATTCTATGTATCCCAGATTTGCTTCCAAGAAAACCTGTAGCTCATTACACCTTAGCAGAATAATGGATACAAGTAATACAAATGTAAATAATATAAATATATATTTACCACCTCATTGGTAAGTGAAAAAAAGCTTGCAACAAACATGGGGACAATTTTGTCCTGGGCTCAAAATTCTGACACTTCATAGACATTTAACTATTTATCTTTTTTCTTTCGCACTATAGAATTTACCTTCTCTCTGGGCAACTTCTACAAAACTGGATCATTATTCCTAACACAAATTTCTCCTGCTATTATATATGATCTTCTTTAATATTCAAAAGAATGAATAACAGGTAACTGCCCTTCTTCCAACTGCTTCTCATGAACTTACATTTTGTATTTAAAATCACATTTATCTACATAAAAAATCATTTTCAATTATTATTACCTTTTACTAACATAACCTATTTTCCAAACTATTAATCATGTTCCAGATGTTTCCAGTAAAGAATATTGGAGAAGGATTACCTCATGATGACCATGTGCTAGATTCCTGTTTAAAAATCCCTATTTCCAGGTCAGTAGTCTGAGGAAGGTGGAAGTCACACCAAGGTTAATTTTACTTGAGTAGCATAAGGAGGTAGAAGTAAAACTGAGTGTAATCAGGGGATAAGAAATGTGTCTCTCAGGAATGGAATCAACTACATTAAGTCCGGGATAACTACCATTTTAAATACCAATACATGTTCAGAATTCTAATTGCAAGTAAAGAAGAGGAAAAGAAGAATCAAAACCCTAACACATAAAGTTTATACTGCCATGAAGAGAGGAGAATAAATGCAAATCTTCTAATTTTAATTCATTCCTGTGAGTTGTATAATTGTAACTTTTTAAAGAGTGCTTTTTAGCCCAAAAGGAAAATCCCACATTTCTAATCTGGAATTTTAAAACATTTTTAATCGCTGTTCTGGAAACTCTCATACTTAATATAAATAGGCCATTCATGACCGTCTCTAAATACAATGAACTCTGGTCTTTTCCTTCTAAAAATGATAGCACTGCATTCATTTTTCTAAATAAGAAATAAGGGAAAAAGAAGTTATGAAATTGGATGTAACGCAACAAAATGACAGATTAGGTGGGGCAGCACTTATATTCCCTTCATAATTTTGTTCTTGCTTTATAAATCATAAACTGGGATATAAATGCCAGCCATATATGTTCCACCTGGGATCTGAAAATACTGCTATATTCTTCTTGCTTATAATACTGCCACAATAATATAACTTCTGCAATCATAATTTATACCACTGACAGATTTGAAGTTAATGCAAGAAAAAGATTCCAGCTCTGTCTTTAGAGTTGCATTGCTTCTTTGATGCTAGCAGCAATGTGTACTTATCTTTTATTTTTCCTGTAAAACAGGTAGGTATGAATCGAACACTGTGGCTGATGACAAATTCAGTCAGGATATGCCATTTATGCATAATCATCTTTCTGGACATTATAATGTTTTAATTTTATACCAGTCTTGCATTTTCTGAAAATGGATATCATCCCTCATTTTTACTTTTTCATTTCTACACAGAAATAATATTTGCTGGAAGTTACCCATTGTATCTCTAACCTGGGAGTATATCTCCTCTTGGCTGCATTTTCCTTAAAGTTGTTGTGAGAATGAATAGATAGCAATCAATGGCATCCAGCAACTCCAAGGCCCTATTTCTGTATGGGCTCAAGCAGCAATAATCAATCCATTCTCTCCCATTTTATCATTGCCATTTTCCTATGATGCTGTAGGTAAACTGAAAAAAAAAAAAATCTATCTTGTTCTTTGTAATAGGACTAATTAGGGTATCTCATTTGCAAGAAGGATTGTGGGTATTCATTTTCGTCCTGTACCCTCTTTAATGCAAAGACATAATTTTATAAGGAAAACTCAGTTAATTAGGGTCTTATGAGATGGCTTTATTCTTTTTTTTAAAGGAACTTAGAAATAGCAACAGGAGATATAATTAGGAACCATTTCTGCTTTGATTAACTTAGAAACTTAGATCAACTTTGATCGACTTAGAACTTTAGAAATTATCTAGTCCATTCCCTCAATTTATGGATGGAGAAACAAAGCCCCAGACAGGAAATGTGACTCACCCAAAGTCACAGAGGGAGATTCAAGCCAGAGGTAGAACTAAGTCTCTTTATCCGCTAGGCATTTTAGCTGGATAAAAATGGATTTCATTAAACTATCCTTAACAGCCTACCCCGGCCCTCCTTTCCTGTACCTGTCTCCCAAGCTTGAGCCATTTATAATCCCCAGAACATCCCTAAAGAAGATTGCAGGGTGTGAGGTTCAGCCTGAAGAACTCACAAAAGCAAAAGCATGCAGGTGAGCCGGTTGTAGGTTGGAGAGCCCTCCATGAAAATAGAGCCTGCCCTGGAATTTCAATCTGTTTTGTGTCGAATCCCAAACTACATAGAAGATCCAAGAACTGTACCTCCAGAGGAGTTTTCTGCACCCCCCAGATGTTTCCAGAATCCAATGCCAATCTTCCAGAAAAACTTAAATGGAGCAGAGTATTTCAAAAATCTTTCCTAAGAAAAAATGAATCCAGAGGCTTTCTGGGTCACTCCTCTACATGGAAGTACCATTTCTAAAGCTGGAGGAAGTCTGCTTCTCAGTAGTAGCCCCCACCCCACTAACTCTCTCTGCAGCTGACCCCATGTGGAGATATGTCCAGAGCAAAGGGCTCTCACATGTCATTTGTATTCCAAACCTGTGGGCCTCTCGTATTGTGTACTGGCTCCATTCTAATCACTATGCTTTTGCAAACAGAGAAAAACTATAATTTGGAAATGGCTGCTGTTGCACTCGGGTGTCTGTTTCCTCTTTTTCTTCTTAACAGCCCCAGCACATAGCAAGTGTATAGAAATTATAATCACAAGCAGAATGTAACACACACAAAAAATTCTTCAACAATCCTTTATTAAGTGCCTACAATAAAGTGCCTCACATATTGTAGGCACTTAATAAAGGATTGTTGGAGAATTTTTTGGGTGTAACATTCTATTTGTGATTATAGTCCCCATACACTGTTTTGACGGCATCTGTACTGGCTCTGTTGACATGTTCCTAAAGATGATCCCATACAAACTCTCAAAATATTGAAAGGAATATTGATCCCCTGAACTCCTGAGAAGCTGAGAATGCAGCACTGTTGGCTATTTAAAAAGAATAGAAGGACTCTTCTCTCTGTACCACATTACAGTGAGCATTGTGTAACAGAAACAACCACAGAGAGTATAAGAGTTACTTTAGACAAAGACGTGGACATATGACCTCCTCCTCTTTCATGCTTGAGTATATTCTATGTCCATAGATTGATGACTTACTAATACCTGAATTGGATTCAAAAGTGTATTTATCATTTAATATATTTTCATATAATTGATCAAATATCTTAGAATTTGGTTTTATTTTCTGGATGTTATATAAACAAGTATTCTCAAGAATGTCATATTAAGAATATTAAACTTGAAAGGGATTGAGCCAACACTCTCGTTTTTACAGATTATAAATAAATCTACATAGCTTTCTTCTTATATGAAAGGCTTCCAATGTTTTCCTACAGCCTCTCTAATCTTTTCCCAAATCTTCCTCTTTATAGTGTCCTCATCACTCCCACATAAAATGTTTTTCTAGCTGTCTTTTCTCTTATAAAGTTTTTTCAATCTTCACAATAAATTAACTGTCTCCCACAACCAGAATTATACCACTATCCTCTCCAAAGCCTCTCACATAAATTACACACACAATTTTGAAACTTAGTTCCATCTTCCAGTAGCTTGCATCAATGCACAACTTGTCACTTTGCTTAACTTCCTTATTCTCTCACAGACCATTTCATATGGAAAAACCACATCAACAAGAAAATTAGTTTCCTCAGAAGAGAGGGTTATATCCAACAGGAGACAACGCCAAAGAACTGCAAAGATGATAAGAAGGTAGGGAAACCTCTATTTTGAAACTCTTGAAATGTATGTTGGTCATCACTATATAGAGAAAGTAGTTGTCTGGGACACATGAGTTAAGAGGTAAATGAAGACTCATGTCTAAAACTATCTTTCCCATCTGCTGAAAATTCGTTTCACTTCAGTACAGTCCATGAGACTCATTCCTTTGAGTTACAAAGTTTTGTCTTAACAAAACACAAATGCAAAGAGAAGCAATGTAGTAAATCCTAGGAATTATTTCCAATTTTAAATAAATTAGATTGATCACCTGTTTCTCCTAATAATGAGCTAAGATCCCATACATGTGGGACTCATGAGATAAGGACTAAAAGAAAAATGTGCATACAGAGGATAAATGATAAATAAATTTGAAGTTTTAGAAAGGGAGCATCACAAGACATGAGGAAGTAAAGAAAAAGTGAAGGTGGTATTTGTCTTAAATATCACTTGCCTCACAATTTTGACAACATCTAATCATTCCCTCAACAAGCTAAAGAAGAGCAAGAATACTTACTACTTTGACTTTCTGAGGATTGTTATGGCCCTTGAGAATTTTAGAATCATTGAGTACTTTTAAAATAGCTTTTATTCTAGATCTTTGCACTGACAGAGAGCACTTTAGTAATTACTTCAACCTGAGCAAATGGTTGTTCTCAGTACAAGAGGGAAAAGGAGGGAGCCGAGAGAATGAATGGCAGTAAGAAAGAATAAATGAGAAAAGTCCACTGTTACCTGAAAGGGGGCAGTATCCATCAGAGAAACAAAAGACTAAGGTTTACGCCAGTGGTTCTCAACCAGAAGTAATTGTGTCCCCCAGGGAACATTTGGCAAATCTGGAGATGTTTTTGGTTGCTGGGAGTAGGAGAATGCTTCTGATGTCTCGTGGATGGGACCAGTGATACTGCTAAACATCCTACAGTACATAGGACAGCCTCCCAGAATAAAGCATTATCCAGCCCAGAATGTCAGCAGTGCTGAGGTTGGGAAACTCTGGCCTAGACTTACATAAAAGATGACAAATAGTTGTAGGAGCGATTAAGCAACGATCTCTTCCCTGGTACAGAAAAGGTTTTCCAGAGAGCTCATTTTGCTTATTCTAATCTGCATAGCCCAGAATCAGGCCTATATTTTCTCCAAAAATTTGGTAAGACAAATGTTGATACTAGTGTGGAAGTGCTTAAATGATATCCAAGACTTCAGCCCAAACTAACCAAAGAATATGAGAAAAGACAGTGTATTAGCACCCAAATGTGCAAAGAGATGTGATAAGATAGAGTTCTGGGTTAGAGAGGTAATAAAATCTTAAGAACTGCATCCTGATTTAGAGATGAAACAAAAGCAGATATTACAACCTTAGGATGATCAGCCCATCCTATGAAAAGTGTGGAGGTCCAAGTGAATCCTGAGAATGGTAATAGCAGCCAGCATTGATTTAAAATGTCCTATGTGCTAAATACTGCGTGATATGGTTTGGCTGTGTCCGCACCCAAATCTCACCTTGAATTGTAATAATCTCCATATGTCAAGGGCAGAGCCAGGTGGAGATAATTAAATCATGGGGGCAGTTTCCCCCATACTTTTCTCATGGTAGTGAATAAATCTTACAAGATCTTGTAAGATGTAAGATGTCCATGTAAGATGTGTCTTTGGGCTGGGTGCAGTGGCTCACACCTGTAATCCCAGCACTTTGGGAGGCTAAGACAGGTGGATAACCTGAAGTCAGGAGTTCAAGACCAGCCTGGCCAACATGGTGAAACCCCATCTCTACTAAAAATACAAAAATTAGCCGGTGTGATGGCAGGCTCCTATCATCCCAGCTACTCAGGAGGCTGAGGCAGAATTGTTTGAACCTGGGAGGTGGCGGTTGCAGTGAGCCAAGATCATGCCACTGCACTCCAGCCTGGGCAACAGAGCAAGACTCCGTCTCAAAAATAAAAGAAAAAAAAGATGTTCCTTTTCTCTTCCTTCATCTTCCACCATAATTGTGAAGCCTCCCCAGCTATGTGGAATGGTGAGTCTATTAAACCTCTTTCCTTTATAAATTATGCAATCTCAGATATTTGGATATGTCCTTTATGTCCTTTTTTTTCTTTTTCTTTTTTTGAGACCGAGTCTCACTGGGTGACTCAGGCTGAACTGCAGTGGTGTGATCTCAGCTCAATGCAACCTCCGCCTCCCAGGTTCAAGTGATTCTCCCGCCTCAGCCTCCTGGGTAGCTGGGATTACAGGTGTATGCTACCACGCCCAGTTAATTTTTTTTTTTTTTGTATTTTTAATAGAGATGGGGTTTCACCATGTTGACCAGGCTTGTCTCGAACTCCTGCTTCAGGTGATCTACCCACCTCAGCCTCCCAAAGTGCTGGGATTACAGGCATGAGCCACCATGCCTGGCCTCAGGTATGTCTATTAGCAGCATGAGATCAGATGAATATACTACGGTAAGTTCTTTACATGCAGAATATCATGTGGTCATTGTAAACTATCAGTTTTACAGTTAAGAAAACTGAGACTCAAAAGGGTAAGGTAATAATTAGAGCCAAATTCAGGAGCCAAGCCAAGTTACATCTGACTCCAAAGTCTTGCTTTAAGCACCTTCCCATGCTAACCTAATGATTCAGTGTATTGATCCAAGAGAAATAAAGTCAACATTATTTTATTTATCCCTCAATTACGTGAGTGCCTTCTAAGAGCTGAGGGCACAACAATGAAGAAAACAGGCAGGTGCCTTGGTCACAGAGAACTAACAAACCGGTGGGGATAGAGAATCTCCAGAATGAGAATCCATCAGACTCCAATCAGTCCCTAAATTCCACAAAGGCAGAAATAGGAGCTTTTTATTTATTCAAGTAATTTTGTTTCTTTCACTAAGCCCAAAACATAGTTTAATCATGTGCTGAGTCCTCTGCTCTGTTAAAAGCCAAAATTAAACCTCTCTCTCCCTTTCAGACAGAGAGCTCTCTCCCCACTAAAAATCATTTGACGGAAAATTCCAAACAAAGATTCTGCATAAGAATTTGCCATTCTCTATCCATTCAGCTCTAGAGAAAATAGGTTTAGGACATCCTTGACAGGAAATTTGAAGTTCTCATATCCCAGACCTCCAATCACACAGAGAATGATGAGAGGTATCAAAATGCTACAAAATAATAAAGAGGCTGCAGAAACAGTTGTCTGATGAAACAGCTGCCACCTGTACATGAACTGTCTCATACATTATGAAGAACATAGGAGAGCAAGAAAATCCCCTGGATTAGGACATAAAAGATAGTATTTCAAAAGTCACAGCTTTATCACTTAGTGGTTGTGACCCTGGGCAAGTCAATTAACCCTCTCAGAATCTCCATTTCTTCACCTATTAAATGAGAATAATAGCTTTCCTGCCTACCCCACAGAATCGCAATAACTAAAATAATACACCTGGAAAGGCATTGTAAACTGTCAAGATTACCCATTAAGCTTGGTATCCAATTTCACCCATGTCTAGCTGTTAGAGGTCAAACCTTTGGTTAGAAATATAGGTACTTAGAAGACAGCACATCACAACATCCCCATCCATGTCATAATGCCCCGTTACCAAGTGCCACCAGTAGAAGCACAGACACTGAAGGGGCAAAACCTGATCCCTGTGATCCCTCCAAGAGATGAAGTTGGAGCTTCCTCTTTTTCAATTTCCATCTTTATTATTTTGCTTCTTAGCCACAGAACCAAGTAGCTAACTTATTTATTTACAGTCACACATTTCATTTTTGAGCACATTTCTTATAGTTATATTGCACAAATGCCCCCCATCCTCACCCTAGCAGGTGTAGTGTGACTTTATACTCTGATATATGGAACGACTCTAAACCTGTAACAGGGAAGGGGCCAGGCTTCTCCCCTCTCTATCTATGCTGCTACTACCAGTGAGAGTTTAGCTAACAAAAATGCCTAGCAAAAGTACGAATAGAAAATTTAGCTGATAGCAATTCAAGTACTATTGAAATATTCTGAGTGAATGCTCAATCATATAATGTGATGAATGCTACATTTATGTAGCTAAGTATAGAGACTTAGTTGCTAGTAGATCTGATTTGAAAATTATCCAAACATCATGGCCCTTCACGTTGATGTGTGCCCACTTCCCAATACAAGCTCAAGATGCCTATAATGTCTGAAGCACACTATTTCAATTATGCTGCAATAGGTAAAAGCCTGGGTTATCTGGATCAAGCTATGCATGTTCTTACGGATGCTCCAGCATGTGACCTTGAACAGGTATCTACGCGACCTTCAGCCAGTCACTTAACTTCCTGAGTCTCAGCTGCCTCATGTAAAATGAAGATAATAGTACCTACTTCTTAAGGCCATTATGAGGAAGAAATGAGATAATCCAGGTAAAGTATGTAACTCTGTACCTGACATTATGCTACATGTTCAGGAAATACTAACAGCTATCTATTACAATCGACTGATCATCAGCTAAGATATGCAAGGTCTTATTTTTCTAAACAGGTAAGTGGATCTAAAAGAACTTCTAACTCCTCTCAGGTCTACTTAATTTTACTTGCTAAACAAAGATTCAAACAGGGAGTACTGAAGGATAAATTTTCAAAAAGTATGACCTCTTCCATCTAAACGTGCCAGCAGCAACATGAAGTATGAGTGACCAATTTGCTTAGAAACCATTCAACAGCAAAGTAACCACTCAAGGTAAATCAGGATTTGGGTAGCAGTTGTAGCACAGAACTGAATTCTTAGCAGCCCCCACATTAATGCAGAAAATACCTGACAGGAAATGATGAAAAAGCAAAGGAAGACCAGGCTACAGACAACAGAGGGCAACTCTCAGGAGTAACAAGGGTCAGAAACAGATATTAGGATCATGGTAAAAATTCCCATTGCAGTACATGTGAGAATGCTGAAGAGAAGAGAACGGTCTTCTCTTCTCTTCAGGAAAAGCAGTATGGTCATGAAAGATCAAAAGGACTTGCTAGAGGTTTAAAGCAATCCTAAAAACTATTTTATTTATTTTATTTTATTTTATTTTATTTTATTTTATTTTATTTTATTTTATTTTATTTTATTTTATATTATTTTATTTTATTTTATTTTATTATTTTTGAGACAGAGTCTCACTCTGTCGCCCAGGCTGGAGTGCAGTGGTGCGATCTCAGCTTACTGCAACCTTTGTCTCCCGGATTCAAGCGATTCTCCTGCCTCAGTATCAAGAGTAGCTGGGACTACAGGCATGTGCCACCAGGCCTGGCTAATTTTTTTCATATGTTTAGTAGAGACGGGGTTTCACCTTATTAGCCAGGATGGTCTCAATCTCCCGACCTCATGATCTGCCCGCCTCGGCTTCCCAAAGTGCTGGGATTACAGGTGTGAGCCACCGTGCCCAGCCCTGATGTCCTTTTTAAATGACAAAGTATTAAAAAGATGTTGGAGATGTGAATGGAAGCCCTAGCCTGGAACTCCACCCTAACTCACTTCCTGCCACTCCCTATCTCCCTTGTTACCTTGCAACAATACAAGATGCAGACACTTCTGCTATAGCAGTTGCTTTGAAAACATGAATTTGTTCCAATGCAATTGTTACATTAGGCAACAATTGAAGCATAACCAAATTTCGCACTTGCTCATATGCAATTTCATCTTTGGAAAACACCTAGGTGAACAAAGAAAACTGTGCCTGCAGAAGCAAACCATGTAGGAATATGAAAAAAAAAAAAAAAAAAAGCACACACACATGTGCAAAACTGTGCTATCATGTTTATTATGTTTTCTCATGTCAATGACCAACTTTCTAATGTTTTTGCCCTTGACTCCCTTTTCCCCATATGCCACATGGGTTTTTTTTAACCTTGTACAATTTTGCAATAGTGATTTTTAGGAACATTATAGCAAAACTAACCACATCCTGTAGTGACCCATCTGTACTCTTTTATCTTACCACATGATACTGTTCCCATTGGCTAACATTCCAGCAGGCCTTAGGCTCATCTCACTCCTCTCGTTCCAGCTCTCCCTTAAGACTTAACTCCTTCCAAGTGGCTTTCCTGACTGGCTAGCCTGACCACCTTTGAGACCTTGCTGTGAGCTCTCACAGCATACTCCATGCATGCCTCCAACATTACACTTACTACCATGCACAGAAATGATACCTTAACAGATATGTCCACCACTGTTTTGAATCTCAAAAGCAGGGACCCATCTTATATTTTTGTGCATTTTCATCATGGCACAGAATAATATTTAATAAATGTTGAGGTAAACAAAACAGCAAAACAGAACACTGTCAACTTTAACCCATTTAGTAGAATAACAACTCAGCAACAATATCTAACAATATACTCTATAGGAAGGAAAGAAAAACTGGAGAAACCAAGGATCATTCAAACATAAGCTGAGTGTCTTCAAAGCTGAGAGGTGCAAAAGAGGTGGAAAATTTAGGGGACTCAATAGAAATTAAGTCCATTATTAAAGAAGACACAGAAGAATATATTTAAATTTAGGTAAAAAGTATCTAAAAACATTGGGAAGATGCATTTATGAATACTGAATTTCATATATGCATAAAGAATGAGATTGTACTGCAACTACGGTGACCCCTTGCCGAAAATTTCAGAATAACTGCTATGTAATGTTGTCTCCCTACTAAGCATCCTTTGATCTTTTAAGTGAGATTTACCATATATGTTGTGGCAAGGGCATTACAGGGATGGCTTGTTAACTCTGACATGAGATGTATTCAAGTGAATCAAAGGACATATTTCCTGGGCTTTCCTGAATGGACACTAAAATGAGACATAATAAAAAGTTCCTTTTAGTTTGAACAGTTTATACAATGAGACAGACTGACGCAAAAAGCTTTATCATAGATTCACAACCCACATATATAACAATGCACTCAGAAAAGAAGCTAACCTAGTGACTTTAAAGAATTATTATAGAAGTAAAAATCAGCCAAATTTCACCAAATGAAAATTAGCCTTATATTGCTCTTAAAGCTGCTCACTGTATGTAATGCAACAATTGCCCTTGGACCTAAGATTCACTTTCTGCTCATACGTGAATGCAAGGATAAGACCGTGTAGAAACCAAATTAAACTTGCTTAAAGCCTTTAGTTTTATTATCAAGAAAAATTATCCTCTCCAATTGATAAGACATGAAACACAGAAAAAAGAAAAGGGCAGAAAGCCTCACAAAGCAATGTTTATAAACAAAGGCAGAGCCTCAATTCACAAAATGGTAATTTCGAGCAAAAAGAAAAAGGCACTCCAAAGAAATAAAGTGCACACAAACCAAAACTCTGCTAAGCAAGTTTTATTTGTAAAACATGTTTAAGATGAGACTTTTTCAAAAAACTGCCACAGACAACCACTGGAGTACAAAATCTCAAAGGTGATCTTAACTGACTTACGTAATTATTCACTGTGATAAATGAATGTGAGATTTCAGAGTGGGGAGAAATGCTCCCCTGGAAATGAAGCAGGGACAGTGTAGATGAAAGTCTGGAGGAAAATGGGCAAAAATTGCAATCAGAATCACATTTTTCTCAATTTTATATATACAATGTCTCCAACCAAACAATTCTCAATAGCTATGCAGACTTTTATCAAAAAAAAAAAAAACAAAAAAAACTCTAATCATACCTATGTCTGTTATTCTCTTTGATGCCAGGTAATTCAATTTTGGTTAATTTTTGACGATTTCTAATAGTTCTTGAGCACTTTTTCATGTTGGGTACTGTTTTTTGTATTTTGTGAATGTCAGCTTACTTAATTCTTACAGTAAGTGATTACTTTATTCCCCCTTCATCAAGAAAATGAGGCACAGAGAGGTTAAGTTACTTAACAAGGTTATACAGAGCCAGAATTGGAACCCAACATTCTGAATTTAAAGTCTACACTACTCCTGACTACACCAAAGAATAAATAGGTTATATGGCTTAAATGTGTCCCCACAACAAAGGAAAAAAAATAACCTGTATCTTAAGAACCTATCTTAGAAGTGATCCATAAAACCAGACTCATGTTTGAGATGTGATTCCTACTACAGATGGGTGGTTCAAGGGGAGAATGTGGAACCAACACGGCATCTGCAGTTATTCAGTGTTAACCATGGTACTGGATCCAAGAGACTCACCCCAATTTCCTGGAGTGCTACAGAGTGTCATTCACCTGGCTAGGAGAGAAACAAAACGTACACAGCTACAAGGACCAGTTCTAAAATGGAAAAGCAGCATGCTTTAAATTCTAATTTATCTAGAGACAACACTTTTCCCCTATTCAAAACTGCTGGCAAAAGTTCCCTCTTTTACTCCTGAGTAATTTAAACTACAATTTGTCAATAGCCAGAGTTAGCTGGGCTGCATGTAACCACACCTTAATAACATGACTCCTATAATACTCCTTCTGGCAGTTGCTCTCAGCAAACACGGATGGCAATACTGTTCCCTCTTGGCCTGAGAATACAGAGAGGGAGGGGAACCAAGCTAGCTGGCCTGCATAAATATGCCTTATGCATTTCATCAAAGATTCCAAGAAGAGTTATTTGGATGCTCTATAATGTTGAAGATGCAGTGCCAGAAAGAGAGGACAGATTTTAGATTAGCAAGGTATACAGTAGCAAGATCATACTTGGAAACCCCGTGCCAAGAGCTGAATACCCATATCCAAAAGCATAGGATTTTTAATATCCCAAATTATGTGTCAGTAACATCAACAGCTGAAGTTCTCACCACTGAAATCATCCCTGATCCATTAAGTTTTCTCTACGTGCCCTTGAAAAAACCTTTCATTCACCCTTATAGTTTACATGACAGTGTGATTTGCAACTGCATGTTGGCTTGGTCATGTCCTCACTGGGCTGCTTCCCATGTGAGTTTTGAAAGAGCATATACTGTCTTCTCACCTGTATCTTCCAGGCCTGTACTATATCTGGCATATTATAGGTATTGAATAATTTCTGGATGGGTACTACAGTCCAAATCACCTAGCAGATTCTAAACCCAAACTTAAATTGACATCTGATACAGTTTGGCTCTGTGTCCCCACCCAAATCTCATGTCAAACTGAGATGTAATACCCACACGTCAGCGGGGGGGCCTGGTGGGAGGTGATTGGATCATAGGGGTGGATTTCCCCCTTGCTGTTCTCATGATAGTAAGTGAGATCTGATGGTTTAAAAGTTTGGGCACTTCCCCCTTTTCACTCACTCTCTCACTCCTGCTCTGCCATGGTAAGACGTGTTTGCTTCCCCTTCAACTTCCTCCATGATTGCAAGTTTTCTGAGGCCTCCTAGCCATGCTTTCTGTACAGCCTGCAGGACTGTGAGTCTATTAAACCTCTTTTCTTCATAAACAACCCAGGCTCAGGTAGTTCTTTATAGCCGTGTGAGAACAGACTACTACAAAATCCAAAAGTAGCACGAGCTGGAATCAGATCCTTAGCAACCTGTGACCACCTAAAAACAATTCAAAGCTACTACAACTATTTTAGGAATTAGGAGAAGACAAAGGTAGATATCTGCCCTAAGATATGGTACTTCTGGAAGGATGATTATGGAAAAGAATGCTGGAAGAAAAATGGGTAAAGAATGAAGATGACAATGCTGACTAATAACTTTTAGTCCACATTAATGAGTTAAGATCTGGAGAGAAAACACACAGCTGGAAAATCTGGTGAGATTTTGTCCCACTTTACTTCTCCTTTATGTATTCATCTGCATTTTATTTCATGACTTGTTTACCTTAAATTAAATTCCTACTTGAAAATTATTAAAATATGTATTTAACTGTATTTAACTAAATATGTATTTAAACGAAAAACAAGGATGTGCCTTGTTTTTCCCCTAGTGGATTGGGGCTAGAGAAAAAAAAAACATAAGCAATATTTTGATAGCTGAACAATTACATTGCCTCAAATGCCCTTTTCCAAATGGCCACCCATGTATTTTACATTTTTAATCTGTTTTTTGCTTTATAAGAGTGAGGCCAAATCATTTTTATAATTTTCAACTGGCCAATTATAAGATAACCTCAATCATAAATATTGCTGTTTTCATAGGCACAAAATGTAGAACTTCAAAGGGTAGAAGACTAGTAAGTGTGGAATAAAGAGAAAGACAAAAATCATTGACTCTGCAGCATAGAACACCAGTTAATATAAAATATGTAAAGATTTATGTTCTGTTTTCATATTCCAGAGCCAGAAATAACTGTTCAAGCCACATGAATCTGTATCCATTTTAACCCTGTAGATCAAGAACTGTGGTTTATAATAAAGCAGTGCTGAGAGAACTGTCTCTACATATCTGACCACCATCACCAGTGACAGACATTTGCACTTGGGAAAACAATAAAAAATAGAATGTTCCTGTAAGGCACTACTGCACATTAAGAATTATCTGAAACAAGGACATTTCAGAGATATTCATTCATGTATGCATATATGCATTCATTCAACTAACCAATCTTAAATTTCTGGCATGTACCAGGCATTGTTTTGGTCTCTGAGGCTATAAAATAAAACATTTCTAGTTTACAGATTCATAATCCATTGAAGGGGGGTGGAACCCATAGGCAGATTATTTGAATACAGCTAAAACAAACATATATGCTACTGTGGTAAGAGGAGTAGTACAAAGGGTTTGTTCAGGAAAAGAACACCCTGAAGGAAGCATGACAACGAGGAGCTTGCAAGTGTGTGTCTATGCCTCTGTCTGGGTTGCAAATTATGTGGCATGGGTTGGGGGGACAAAGGAGATGGGAGGACATGGGGAAAAAAAAAGGGCATAGTAAAGATATGAAGGTGGGAAACAGCATGATATGAACAGTTTTAGTATGACTAAAGCACAAATCATGGGGGCAAAACTAGCAAGAGAACATCACAAATGGATAAGGCTGATGGTGAAGCATCTTCATGGCATGTTAAGACACTTGGACTTTTTCCCATAGGCAATGGAGGGCTAACAAGAGGTTTTAAACAGGGAAGTGAGGTGGTCCTAATTGTGCTTGCCACATAACTGGCTCAGATAGTACAACTCTTGCACAAGTCATTATTGCACCAGGTCAATGAGTAACCTAATCTGAGAAAGGTGAGAACAGCATGTAACTTACAAGGTGCAGCAATGTGAGTGTTCTGGGTAATAAGTAGAATCCTGATTAAGTCCATGGGGTTCGGGTATGAAAGAGCCGTGATTAAGATATGGGTTACTGAAAGATGTGTGAAGCAACCTCAATTGCCAGGATTAGGCACTCTTACACATTGCTAGTAGAATAGTATTTTGGTAAGATGGTGGTATTATATAATTTAGAATTATGCAACAGATCCTTTAACATTCATACCTTCTGGCTTAGTAACTATACATCTATAAAAATATCCTCAAAAGTAAACTTATGGAAATGTTTATACACAAAGATGTTAATCACAGTAATTTTATGGTAGAAAATATTTTTAATCCAACAATAGAAAAATAATTGAATAAACTATAATTAATGTATGCAATGAACTATTACATACTCATTATAAACTCATTTTACATAAAATTTTAATAACACCAAAAAAGCTTCCATTTTTGCAGTAAAAAAGCAATATACGAAATTGTATATATATGGTCACCTCTGTAAAAGTAACTTGTACATTAAAAAGTGAACTAGATATACATTAAAGGGCTAAGAGTATTAAGTTTTAAGTTGTAAGAATACAGATAGTTTTCTTCTTCTAATTTTATATTTCCAAAATTTTGTATAACATGTATTTTGATATTGGCAAAATAATCTTTAATTTTAAAGACATTATTTTGGTTTTCTCATACTGGCCAAAGTGGAGTAAGCCCACACCCTCTCCCTCTTCCCACTGGTAACTAAAAACTCTGGAAAAACACAAAATAAAACTGCTTGCAAACTGACAAAAATAATAGCAGGTGATTTATAAAGACAAGTTAAAACTTGGGGACAGCTAGTACAGTGGTGGTTTTCTGTATTCCCCCCACCTCCTTTATATTCCTGCTTTCACTTAGGGGTGTGCCTGAGTCCCAGAAATGCATTCTGTGTACATATGGCAAAAAACTTCAAGAGAAAGCCCCTCTCTTGCTGCCCAGAAGACTTGGAAAATGAACTTCAGCAAACAAGACAGTATAAAGGGGATTCCTTTTTTTCTCTCTCTCTTGTCTCTACCAGTCCTGCTCAGAAGCCACCTGCAGTCACAGAGTTGCACTATAGCCACAGCTGTGATACAGCATTGAAAATCTAGAGAGAAAACCCATCTCCTAATTCAAAGGAACTGGGAAAATGAACCCAAATGGCCTTAAGAATGTGAGAGTATCAGCATTTCACTTTCCCACCCACCCTGTTCTCTGTCTGGTTGTTTCATCTCAAGGGCAGTCCCAGATGGGCAGAACTCTACAATAGCACAGGGTGCTAAATTGAGAGAAACACTCATTTTTTTAGGCAGAGAAACAGTGAAACAGACCCCTATGAATCAGAAAGTACTGGGGAAAATCCAATGAGGAAATTCCTGGAGAAGGGGATCCTCTAATGCTTAGAAGACCTAAGTCTGAGTGTCCCAGGCTCACTCCAGTCAACCTACACTTGCACAAACAAACCCAGCAAAGACTAAGAACAGAGCCACCATGAGAATAAAAGTCACCACCTAAGTGCCACATAAATCCCAGAGTGATGAATGTGTAAAGTAGACCCAAAACAGCACAGCAAAGTCTTTAAAAACAGAACTGACAATGGGCAAACTGCCCATAGAAGTGGGAAAACCTGAGTTGATTGCTTGCTGAAAAAAAAAAAAAAAATCTCCCATCTGATGATAGTTTCTTTTGCTGTGCAGAAGCTCTTTAGTTTAATTAGATCCCATTTGTCGATTTTGGCTTTTGTTGCCATTGCTTTTGGTGTTTTGGACATGAAGTCTTTGCCCATGCCTATGTCCTGAATGGTATTGCCTAGGTTTTCTTCTAGGGGTTGTATGGTTTTAGGTCTTACGTTTAAGTCTTTAATCCATCTTGAGTTAATTTCTGCGTAAGGTGTAAGGAAGGGGTCCAGTTTGAGATGCACATGTATGTTTATTGCAGCATTATTCACAATAGCAAAGACTTGGAACCAGCCCAAATGTCCATCAGTGATGGACTGGATAAATAAAATGTGGCACATATACACCATGGAATGCTGTGCAGCCATAAAAAAGGATGAGTTCATGACCTTTGCAGGGACGTGGATGAAGCTAGAAACCATCATTCTCAGCAAACTAACACAAGAACAGAAAACCAAACACCGCATGTCCTTACTCATAGGTGGGAGTTGAACAATGAGGACACATGGCCACACGGAGGAACGTCACACACCAGGGCCTGTCGGTGGGTGGGGAGCTAGGGGAGGGATAGCATTAGGAGAAATATCTAATGTAGGTGATGGGTTAATGGATGCAGCAAACCACCATGGCATGTGTATATGTATGTAACAAAACTGCACATTCTGCACATGTACCCCAGAACTTAAAGTATAAAAAAGTATTTTTTAAGAAAAGAAATCGACATTCTGAAGAGGATTTTAATAAGACTCAGAGTCTCATAAACTAATATTCAAAAAGTCAAGGATATAATCTAAACTCACCCAACATACAAAGAATTAAAAATATCTAACCATTTCACAAGGAAATCAACAAACAATAGGCGTTAGTCCCAAGATGATCGTGATGTTAAAATTAACAAAGATTTTAGAGCAACAATTGTAACAATGATAAAAAATACAAAATAAGCAAGTATACAAGTTTTGTTTTCTTCCTCATCTCTTTATTTGGGTCCAAGAGCAAAAAACAATAAACAAAAAAAACCCAACATCTGAAATGTATGAATTTAATGAATTGTCTCAATAGAATAATTGAAATGAAAAAAGAAATCACCAGTGAACTTCCAAATAAATCAATGGGTATTATCTAGTCTGAAGAAGAGAGAGAATAATGACTGTTTGAAAACATGAATAGAATCTCAGAGGTATGTGGGACAATATCTAAAGTTCAAACTACTGTGTTAATTGGTTCTCAGAAGGAAAGTGATATTGATGCAGAAAAAAAGATTTAAAGATTAAAAAAAAAATGACTGAAAGCATCCCAAATTTGTTGAAACATTGATTAATACATTCAATAAGCCCAATGAACCCTAAACAAGATAAATTCATAGAAAACCATACACAGACATATTACAATCAAATTGGTAAAAGCAGCAGAAAAAAAAGGAACATTACAGATAAAGGAGAATCCAAATTATTATAGATTTCTCATAAGAAACCATGGAGGCCAGAAGAAAATGAAACAAGATTTGTAAAGCACTGAAGGAAAAGAACTCTCAAACCAGGATTTTATTCAGTGAAAATATACTGTAGGAATAAACTCAAAATAAAACATTCTCAGACAAAGGAAAGGAAATAGAATTTGTCACCAGCAGCCCTGTGATAAGAAAAATGCTTAAAGAAGTTCTTCATGTTAAAGGAAAATAAGGAATGAAGGAAGAGCAAAGAAATAATAAGTAGTAGAATAGATTTTTTTTCCTCAAAGGATTTAAAAATATATATGACACTTGAAAGCAAAGATTCTAACACTGTTTAGGTAGAAAGGAAAAAGAACAATATGGTTGTAAGGGTTCTAAGTTTATTGCCAAAGTCAGCTGTGTATACAGTAACAAAAAAAAATACAGTCATGCATTGCTTAATGACAGGGATACTTTGTGAGAAATAGATTGTTAGGTGATTTCATTTTTGTGTGAACATTATAAAGCATACTTACACAAACCTAGATGGTGTAACTACTCCTAGGTTACAAACCTATATCGCACGTTACTGTACTAAGCACTGCAGGCAATTGTAACACAATGGTAAGTATTTGTGTATCTAAACATGAAAAGGTACAGTAAAAATATAATTATAATCTTATGGGACCACTGTCATATGTGCGTCTATCACTAACTAAAATGTTGTTATGCAGTGCATGACGGTAAAGAGATAAAGCCAAAAAGAAAGTTGGTAAATAAAATACTAAAAGATTCGAATAATACAAAAGAAGGCAATAAGGACCATCAGAGAAAGGAAAATACAGAAGGCACAAACAGGAATAAAATATTATACCTAAATTCAACCATACCAGTAATTATACTAAATGTAAATGGTTTAAACATATGAAGTAAAAGATAGAGTGTGAGACTGAACAACAACAAAAAAAGATCCAATTATGTGCTGTCTAGGAAAACCCACATTCAATATAATTATATAAGTGGTTTAAAAGTGAAAAGGAAAAATATATACCATGCAAACTCTAATCAAAAGAAAGCTGGAGTAGCTATACTACTATTAGACAAAATACATACCAAAACAAACAAAACTGAAGATAAAAAGGATCATTTCATGATGATGAAAGTATCAGTTCAACAAGGAGACAAAAATCTAATTGTATATATATCTAACAACTGAACACCAAAATACATAAAGCAAATTCTGATAGAACAGAAAATATAAATATGTTTATAATTATAATTGAAAATATCAACACTCCTCTCAAAAACTAACAGAAAAAAGTAAAATCAGGAAAGATATAGAAAAACTAAACAATACTACCAATTAACCTTACCTAACTGACATTTATAGCACACTATACCAACAGCAGCAGACTGGGTACTCTTGTCAAGTGAAGACAGAACATTCACAAAGATACCATATCCTGGGCTGTAAAACAAACAAACAAAAAGGCTGGGCATGGTGGCTCAGCCTGTAATCCCAGCATTTTGGAAGGCCAAGGCAGGAGGATTGCTTGAAATCAGGAGTCCTACACAACCTGGGCAACAAAATGAGGCCCCCAAGTATAAAAAAAAAAAAAAATTAGCCAGGTACAGTCTCAATGCCTACAGTCCCAGCTACTTGGAAGCCTGAGATGGAAGGATCACTTGATCCCAGGAAGTTGAGGTTACAGTGAGCTGTGATTGAGCCGCTGCACTCCAGCCAGGACAACAGAGTGAGACCCCATCTCTTAAAAGAAATAAAAATTTAAAAATCAAACATTTTTACAAATAAAAAATTAAACTTTACAAAGTATTTTCTCCTACCATAACAAAAGTAAACTAAAAATTTGTAACAAAAAGGTATCTGGAAAGTAACTAAATATTTAGAAACTAAACACATATCTAAATAATCCACAGGTCAAATGGGAAGCATCAAGGAAAATTAGGATATACTTTGAACTAAATAAAAACAAAATGAAATTACCACACAAAAAACTATGGGATTCAGCTAAAGAAGTGTGCAAAGTTAATACCATTGAATGCTTATAGAGAAAGGTCACAAATCATTAATATGAGCTTCCGCCTTATGAAACTAGAAAACACACACACCCCAACCACTTCATCGCATAATTCCCCAATTCATCAATAGTGCATTTTTTTTTCATTTCAACTTCTGAGAAGGCAGTGAAGCAAAATATAATGTGCTAGTATGACTAAGACATCAAGATTCCTAAACATAAAGCCTTGCTTTAATCTTAGTCTGGCTCTGAAAACAGTAATGCTTATTTGTTTACTATTGGAAACACAAAGCCAGGATAAGTAAAACATCTCAGTACAAGGGTGAGTTTTCATCTAATAGAAAAAAGAATTTCAAGCTGCTGCTGGTTGTTCATAATTAAATAAGGATGATAAAGGAAAAGTCAATGTCATCAGAATTTCTACCAAAACATGCTTCACCATGGCAATTCTGTTTAAGCATTACCTGAAATAACAAAACCTACAGAATTTTACCTGCTTTCTACACACATCCATAAGCCTTTGAAATTAAAAGCACACACAAACACCAAAACCCCAAAACACAGGCAATCACAGGCAATTGACAGCATTGGACATAACTTTTATTAAAGTTTTTATAAAATTGAAGCCTTTCTAATATTTTTTAAACTAACCCTTGATTATGAGAAAGATCTTTCAGTTAATCAATTACCATCCTTTCAAAAGAATGCTAATCACTCTGGCAATAACATGAAGCCATAACTGAAATACCTCAGTATAGTGGCCCTTGGCAGCAGACCACCTGCCTCTCTCTATACCAGTAGAGAGCTGAGCCTTTATTACACACTACCTGGAGTTGCCCAGGTGTTGAGGCTGCAGAATCAGAAGCCTACCATTTAAAAAGCCAATGTAATAACAAACCCAGTGAAATGAAACAATTGCCCACCCTTGAAAGGCCAGGTTGACACTGCGCTGTAATGTCAGGTGAAATGTATAAATCTGCTCTGAAGAGTCAGAGGAACAGGAAAACAAAAGCAAGCAGATCAACAGAAACAGACAGGGAGGTGTGATCTGACTCCTGGAGAAATGCTAGGGATTAACACATTAGCATATGCTTTCCTGATTCATCAACAGGACTCTTCTGCACAGACTCTAGGTTGGAGGGTGGAAGACCCTCAGGGCTTAATGGCAGATTTAGGTTTGGGGAGAATAGCACTTCTCATTTGCTCTTCCACTTTTGCCTTCAGTGTTCAAGATAATTGCTTAGTTTCAAATGTATAAACTCAGAGAAATGAATCTCTAATGAGAAATAAGATATCAACACAATACATTAGTATGAATGTCACATACATAATCAATGAATGTATACAGTAGAGTCACATGAAGATGAATACTGACCTAAAATTTTTTTGCATACTCCAACCTAAACCTCTAGTTGTTTTCTAACCAGAAGTGTCAGCAATAAAAATGAAGACGAGCAGTACCCACTCCACACCAGGTCTGTTGCATCCATTACCTTACTCAATCCTCACGACTACACTATGAAGCAGATGTTATCACTTCTGAACAAATGAGGGAACTAGTTCAAAGACTTAAATTGTTGACTCAAAATTGAAGAGTTAATACAGAGTGGGACCTGAAATCAAACCCCAAATATGATGCCAGAGTGTGTTTCTTACCACAATCTGCCTCCACTAGAGCAAAGGGTACTTGCCTGTCTTTAGTTATCTTAATAGTGACAGCAAATAGAATTCCAAAGGCCTAAATTTTGATAGATTTTTCTAGCACCAGGCAGTGTCTGGCACATAGCCAGCACCAAAGAATTTACTAAACTGAGTGCAATTCTAAGAAGTGACAAACTACACAATAGACACCCAAAAATACACCAATGAAACTGGAAGAAATTATGTCTTCTTGAACACTCACGCAAATAACACAGACAAAAATGGAAGCAGCATAGGCTTTGGTGTCAGGGGATGTTGAGTGGAAAACCCGTCTCTGCCACTTTGAAGGTATTTAAATCTTTCTTTGGCTCAGCCTCCTAATAAGTAAAATGGGAGTTATAACACTTCCTGGCATTGCTCTCAGTATTAAAGCAAGAACATATGCAAACACCTACCAGAATACCTAGCACATGGAAAATGAGCAGTATTACTCCCCTTCCTTCATAATGTATTTTCCCCAAACTTGTTTTTATAAAGTATGTGATTGCTAGAGCAAGTGCCTCTGAATAGGAATTTAATCTAATAAGAATAATGGAAACAGACAAGGAAAGGTGAACTGAGTGAAAATAACAAGTAACACATAACTGCAGACTTTATAAATACCCTTTCAGAAGGAGCCTCCAAATCTAGCTGACTGGCCCAAGTTTTTCCCCTCCAGCCTGCTGCTTTAACTCTAGCCCATAAGTGGTGCAAAGTAGTTCCCTATCTGACAGCTGCTTAGCATCCCACATGAAATAGCACTCACAACCCAGTTCAGACTCTGCTGTGCTGGCCATATCACCAACTTCCACTATATTTCAGTAGCAGCAGGCCCCTGCGGCAGGCTTGCCATTCAAATAAAAAGAAGTATGGCAGGGAGAAGTCTTTTTAATAAACTGCTAAGTATTGCTGTGCCTCTTCCTCTTCTAGGCACTAAATCATTAATTCAGAACTCAAGCAGTGTGCAGGCAAAGAGATAGGAAATGCTCAAACACTCATCCATCCTTCCCTCTGTCCCCTCTTCTTTTCTGCCTCCTTTCCTGCCTTCCAACACTTTTACAGTGGATTATTCCTGCCTATAGTTGGATATGATGTTTTGAAGAATATAATGACAAACACGTGCACATTAATGTTGGATCATTCTTTCAAAAAGAGGGAAATGAAGGGAAAAAATTTCAGATCTTTATGAGGAATATGTAGAAGTGACTGCTTTATTATGGTCTTAATGAATTTTTCTCTCACACACAAGGAGATTACCGTAGTTACTGCCAGTAGCATTTTGTAATGCCCTTTCAGTCAGTTGGAGAAAAGAGGTAAAAATTCAGTAATGATTGTGAAAATACTAACAAGTTCATTACAGTAAACATGGGGTTTTCCTCCCCTTACTTTTGAATATATGTGATTTAATAAAATACTAAACAATTGTATTATTAAAAGTTTTGAGAAACTACCTTTTATTATAAGTAAATGTAATTGAAAATGCTCATTACTTTTATAAAAAGTGTACTGGATATATGAATGTCACTCTTAGGAAATATATGATTTCACTTACCTAAAGTTGTGATTACAAATCTGAGAATACACAATTAGTTCTTATAATAGAAAATACTACCTTTAATAATCTTGGCCTTATATTTAATTATATTTATAATTGCTTCACAATAAATTCATCAACAATTTTACCAAGATACTCCCTATATCTAAATCTAAATGTCAAGTTATCAGATTTTCAAAACACAATTTGTACATACACTTAAAAACAGAGGAGGCTGAAAGCATTATCCCAAGATGCCATATTTCTATTTCTGAAAATTATGCATACTGAAATTGTGTCAAATAGAAGTGTTGAATGCTAAGTGTTACAATAGTTAAAATATAATTTAGATTTTTAAAATCAATGCGGGTACCTAATTACATATGTCTACATGTACGACTCAACATAAAATGTCTCACTAGAAAAGATGTTCAGTTTCAATGCTGAAATACTAGGTTTCACCTTTAAAAAGAAAAAGAACACACTATCGTATCATGCCAATTGACATTGACAACAAGTTCAGGTCTACAATAATAAAATGAAACTGTCCCTTAAATATGGTACTGTTTCCCCCAAAAACGGGGTCTGATAGCAGTACCTTTCAATTCACAAAAACAATAAAATGGTCATATTAAATCTATAATGTCAACAGGTTTATGATCACAAACACTTGATGAGCTGAACGTTGCACCTACCCTTCAATAATGCTTGCAGTGTGACAGGGTCTGACGGTTACCATAGTGATCATGTGGCAGCTTCTGATTTATTACCTTGTTCCCCAGGACTGTGATAGCTCTTCGGCTATACCTTCAGCAGCTATTTCAGATTTGAGAGCTACACTATGATAAATGTCTACTATCTAAAAGATATACTCAACAGAATGTAACCTTGGAGAGCAGTGCTTTAAATGCAAATCGCCAGCTTTGCCTTCCTCTTAGAATATGAAAGAGTAATTCCAAAGCCATGAAAACAGGAGGTCTCTGGCCTCTGACACAGCGATTCTTTTCCTTGGGGACTGTCATTTTCAGGGATACCACCCAGTGAATATTTAAGCAGTCTGAAACAGAAAATGAGGCAATGAATTCTGCTGAGGCTTGCCCAAGTAGCACATTGATTACAAAAGCAGGCATGAGTCTAAGCAATTAGTGAGGCATTCAGTTATATGGCGCCAAATGTGCAATGTATTTAGAAAAGTTATCACCACTGGTCAATAAATTATGCCATTTCATCTCAACTAATTGACACAGCTAACGCTTCCACACAGAACCCTGAAAAGAACATTTCAGAAGATAAATCTCACAGTCGGGTGTCCATTTGCCAATGCTTCCTACTTACATGCCAAAGGAAATGAGTTCTTATTTAAAAAAACTACCCAGTTTTATCTGATTTTTGCCTTAGGAAACACCACACACAACACCAGATATTTGTCACAGAAGTTTGTCACACAACTAGGTAGCACATAGATGCCAGCAGTCACCAGTGCACGTGTGAATTAACATCCTAGAAAGATGATGACATATAACATTTGATACCATTACCTTGTTTCTCTCTATTCTTTCATTTGACTTCATGGCAATGAAATACTGCCTTGCAAGCTTATCATGCTCATAAGCACCGTGTACTAATTTGCGTATTAGCAAGTCCCACATGGCTACCAAGTTATTGATTCTGCCATCTAATTCCCTGGCCTTGACAGGAAGGATATTGCTTTTAGGATAAATAAAACAATCTCCGCAATCATTTATGTACAGTTCTTAGAGATCTGTTTGCAGAAATCTTTTCGAAGGAAGAAAACACAGACACTATTTTCACAGCTTAGATCAGCACAAATGAAGACCAGTTTACTCTCTTTTTTGCAAATATTAAAGCATAACCATAGCCAGGGATGTGTTCTTCCTGACTCACAAAACCCAGAGGTTGAAATATATTTTCCATTTTCTGCTTTGTTGATTCATCAAATCTGTGCAATTTCTGTCTGTGTAGTACGTTAATGGGCTCTTCATAAATCACTGCTGACTTAACCAAAGACTTACTTGATACTAACTCTTACTTTGTTTTACTGGTAAATGGGGTAGTGGAAAAGTCAAATAAGTCAAAAGACCTCTCATTTTCAAACAACTGGAATACAGACATATTTGCCAAATAGTTTCAGGAACTACTTTCAAATTACAAATCATATTTTGGGGGATGGGGAAAGGCAGAAATTGACTGCTTTGAATTAGCTATTTGATTCTGTACTGGGAAAAGAAAACCAATAGAATACAGACAACTCTTCACCTCCTCCACCACCCATAATGCCCCCCAGCTCCTTATCACAAATGGTTACACATCTGTAAGCATTGCAAGCTATTTAATTGAATATGACCTGTCTGTTCTCACTAATTCTCACTAGGAATTCACTGGTACTGTACACACATGAGACCAGTATGGGACTAATATCTTTTTATTTCAGACCAGATACACAAGAAGTAGAATTCAGACAATCAGATCAAGTATTGAGAGGTCACAAGATATTAGCATCTATAAGAAAATATTATTTTTAAAAACTATATCCATGTATTTGGTATTAAGAAGTCCCAAAGTTAAAAAGCAATTTATGTACCTCATAGCATTTCTACCTTGCACAGGAGCAAAATTAGGCAAATACATAACTTGCAAATCTGGCTTGGCCTTAATTGTGTAAACAGTGAACTAGCATTTTTACATAGGTCTCCATTTCACTACTGTCCTTGAAGCTATGGCATCAGCCCTAACATTCCCAGAACCTGGTACTCCAAACCTACTTTACAGGTCCCAGTCCTTAACACTAATACAGTGGCTTTACATCTGCACCTCCAACTAGAACAATTTGTGAACAGGATAAGAAAAACACTGGTTTCTACAGGCTCTCTGATTCCATTCTATTTCCTCCTTACCCCCACTAAGCCACCAGGTATAGTATAGACAGGTGATCAAAACCAAAGTGGTAAAACCCAGGATAGCCAACACAATATTAAAAATGAAGAACAAAGTTGCACGAGTGACCCTACTCATGTTCAAGACTTACTATAAATCCACAGTCATCAAGATAGTGTGGTTTGATGAAAGAAAAGGCAAATAGATCAATGGAACAGAATAGAGACCCCAGAAATAGATCCATATAAATACAGTCAGCTGATCTTTGACAAAGGAAAAAAGACAACATAATGGAACAAAAATAGTGTTTTCAACAAATAGTGCTGAAACAACTGGACATCCACATGCAATAAAAAAAGATTAATCTAGACACAGATCATACACTTTTCACAAAAATTTAGTCAAAATGAATCATAGACCTAAGTGTAAAACACAAAACTATAAAACTCCTGCAAGATAACATAAGAGAAAATTTAGATAACCTAGGGTTTAGCAATGACTTTTTAGATATGATACCGAAGGCGCAATCCATGAAAAAGAATGGATAAATTTGTCTTCATTATAATTAAAATTTTCTGCTGTCCCATAGATTGGGAGAAAATATGTGCAAATGATTAAAGGCTCATTATCCAAACTATACAAAGAACTCTCCAAAACACAATAAGAAAACAACCTGATTTAAAAATGGGCCAAACACCTTAACAGACACCTCACTAAAGAGGCTGTATAGATGGGGGAAAAGCATATGAAAAGATGCTCCACCAGAAAAATGCAAATTAAAACACCAATTCAATACCACAACACACCTATTAGAATGGCAAAATCCAGAACACCAACAACACTAAATGCTGGCAAGGATGTGCAACAACAGGAACTCTCATTCATGGCTGGCAAGAATGCAAAATGGTACAGCCATTTTGGAAAACAGTTTAGCGGTTTCTTGGAACATTGAACATACTCTTAACATATGATGCAGCCCCTTGGTATTTACCCCAAAGAGCTGAAATCTTATGTCTAGACAAAAACCTGCCTACAGATAGCTACAGCAGCTTTACTCATAATTGTCTGAACCGGGAAGCAACCAAGATGTCCTGCAGTAGATGAATGGAAAAACTGTGGTACATCCAGACAATGAAATGTTATTCGTCCCTAAAAAGTAATGGGCTATCAAGACATGAAAAGACATGAAAGAAACTGAAATGTATATTACTAAGCAAAAGAAACCAATCTGCTTACTACACAGGCTACATACTATATAATTCCAACTCTGACATTTTGGGAAAAGTGAAACTATGGAGACAGTAAAGAGATTTGACAGGGTTAGCAGGGAGGAAGGAATGAATAGGCAGAACACAGAGAATTTTTAGGGCGATGAAACTACTCTGCAGGATATCATAATGTTGGGTACACGTCAATATACATTTGTCCAAAACCACAGAATGTGTGACACCAAAAGTGAATCCCAATGGAAACAATGGACTTTAAATAAAAGTGATGTGTGGATATAAGTTCAATTATTATAACGAAATGTACCACTCTGGTGGAGGATGTTGATGATGAGGCAGGCTATGCAGCTATTAGGGCAGAGGGTATATGAAAAATCTCTGTACCTTCCACTCAGTTTTGCTATAAACCTAAAACTACTCAAAAAAAAAAAGTGTGTATATAAATACAGAGTTTTAGTAATAAAATTTATCTATACTTATGGTTTGGTTTCATTTTTGTTTAAGGAAAACTGGGCCAGGCATGGTGACTGACATTTGTAATCCCATTTGGGATGCTGAGGCAGGAGGCTCACTTGAGCCCAGGAGTTCAAAACCAACCTGGGCAAGATGGTGAGACTCTGTCTCTACAAATAAATAAAGAAAGGTATAAGAATACATTTTAGGGCCAGACATGGTGGCTCATACCTGTAATCCCAGCACTTTGGGAGGCAGAGGCGGACAGATCACGAGGTCAGGAGTTCAAGACCAGCCAGGCCAACACAGTGAAACCCCGTCTCTGCTAAAAATACAAAAATGAGCTGGGCATGGTGGCACAAGCCTGTAATTGCTTGAACCGGGACTGGGAGGCAGAGGTTGCAGTGAGCCGAGATTGCGCCACTTCACTCCAGGCTGGGCTACAGAGCGAGACTCCATCTCAAAAAAAAAAAAGAAAATAAATTTTAAAGAAAAATAGAGTGTAAATCTACCAATTCCTTCCTGTCATTTAATTGTAAACCAACTAGCACCCACCCATCCAAACCCAGTGCTAGAAAAGAAAAAAAAAAAAAGGTGTTGACGGAGAGGTCTGCAGTCTTCAACACCTTCTGTTTCAGCAGCTCCTGCAAATCCTGTCCCTTCACTTTTCTTACCTATGTAGCCCACTAGTAGTTAACAACTGTCAGGCAGGCAAGAGTCACTGTGGCCCAGAGGTCACCAATCTTATTAAATCTCTATGCCGCCACTAGGACTAAGTAATGCCCACACTGCTCAGAGCAAGGCAGGGGGGAAAATGATTGAAGAGACAGAGTTAGAAAAGCCAGAGCAGAAATGAAAAACGAATAAGAAGTGAGTAAGTGGTAGAAAAACCAAATACTTCCACACATGGACTGTCCCTACCTTTCATCTAAGAATACAACAATCAGCCGGGCGCGGTGGCTCACACGTGTCATCCCAGCACTTTGGGAGGCCAAGGCGGGCAGATCACAAGGTAAAGAGATCGAGACCATCCTGGCCAACACAGTGAAACCCCCGTCTCTACTAAAAATATAAAAATTAGCTGGGCGTGGTGACACGTGCCTGCAGTCCCAACTACTTGGGAGGCTGAGGCAGGAGAATCGCTTGAACCTGGGAGGTGGAGGTTGCAGTGAGCCGAGATCGTACCAATGCACTCTAGCCTGGTGATAGAGCGAGACTCCATCTAACAAAAAAAAAAAAAAAAAAAACAAGAATACAACGATCAAGAAGGCATTTGGTGTAATCAACCGTTGCAACTGGGAAACTCCCCTAAAACAGAGCACAATCTTACATTTTTATGATAGATGTCATTCTACTGTGAATATACTGCCCACACCCAGAAGTACTGATGTAGTCATCCTTTGGCATTTTGTAGACAAGTGCGAAAATTCTGCGAGTATGAAACATATTGACATTTATTTTTATAATGGCAATGTTCCAAGATAGAATACACTGTCTTTCATTTTAATGAACAAGAATTGGACTGGAACAAATACACATGATATAGCTTCTCACTTTTTAATCTCATTTACATATGCTAAATACATTATTAAACAATCTTTCTAGTGTTGTCTTAGCTATACAATTACAGGTTTATGTCTTGTTTGTAAATGTTTATAGTTGAGGGAGAAGCAATGATCATTGAGTCTTTACAAAGATCATAATATTAGGTACAGAGACCTAGTGATCACTTTCAAACACTATAAATTGAACAGAGGTGGTTGGCTTTATCTGTTAAGAAAAAAATTTTACTTCATAATGCATAAAACTTCACTTATTTCAAAAAACATCCTCTATAAGTACATCCAAGATTATAATCATATTATATTCTTCTTAAAGTTTTAAAAATAGCATGTGACGAAAGAGATACAGCTAATCTAAAGATATCAGGATGGTAAGGCCTAAGGCCATGGCATGTGAAAAGCCAATGAAGGAGATTATCTAGCCTGGGGAGGTCAGCTCAACTCAAGAAGAGATAGGTATGTGTGAGGGGAATTAGATGTGCTCTTGATGGCACCAGATATCAAAGTAGTAACAATGGTTAGGAGGTTTAGGGAAATAGATATCAACTTAAAATGAAAATTTTTATTTAGAAAAATTACCATGACTTAAAGATAGGAAGAGCTTCATAAATTAGTGTGTAAGAATTGTCTAGAAAGAATACCTAGAAGGATGGTTATAGTCTCACTTTAGACTCCATAATACTTCAGGGCCTTTTGGACCAGATAGACTATGTTATGAGATCACTGGAAATGTTAACCACATATAGAATAATGACATGCACTACTCGGAAACACTCTAAGGACTAATTAGCAACTGAGTTGCTTGCTGCCAATGCCAAATGGTCATCCAAAATTTAAGTTACCAACATTTGTTTCCTTTTTCTCAAAATATGGTTTTAATCAAAACAGGACTAAGCAAATAAACCAAGAAAATACTCAAAACCTTCAATATGGCACCAACACAGCTCAAATACTTTATTCCTCTTTCCTTCTAATCCCTAGGCCATTTTCCACTGGCAGAGAAGATAGAACAGACTGAATAAACACAATAGAAAAATAGGTTTTGATCTCTCAAATCAACAAGCCACTTCTATGCCCTTTGAGCTGACATCACAAATCACTTTAATATAATTTTCTGTAGTTCCTTTATAAACAATGCCTTAAGTGGTGGGCTAAGTGGGGGGAAGTGCTTAAGGAATCAGCCTTTCCCCAGTGGTGTTTCGCAGCTATGTGACTGGTCGTTTCTACTTACTGATGTGTATATGATACCTATTCATTAGCTATTCTGTTGTAGGGAAGCTGGACTAGATAGCTTTAAGCTCTCTTTCAAACCTAAGAGCTGATAAACTTATGCAACTTGGAAATCAAAGCTGAATCAAACTGCAAACAATATACCAAATCTAAAGATTTTTGAAATACTGATATTTTTCCTCTCCCCAAGAAGACAGAGTGTGTTACAATTTCTAATTCATTCAACACCTGAATACCTACTATGTGCTAAACACTGTTCTAGGAACTAGGCATACAGCAATAAAATAAAGAAATCCACAGCAATAAACTAAAGAAATAGTGACACATTTGAACACTCTAAAATACTTGAACTATAAAAAACCCAAGCTATTATAAACATTCATTCATAAAGATTATATAATGTATATATGTATATATACTTAATGTATAAGTCATATAGTAAAATATGATCTAAGAATTTTCAGAGACAGCACAATTCTGTGAAAACTTAATAGATTAAGCACTAGATGGATCAGAAAGGTATGTAATAACTATTCAAAAGCTGAAGAGTACTATTCCAATGCCTAGATGCATGGACTCATCATCAGGCACAGATGATGTGATCAGAAACTACTTCCTGTAAGTGATTTTCTATTTATTATGAGCCTTTAATCAACAAGCAAGCATTGGGTGTCTAATAGCTGTAAATTCTACCATTCATTCTACCTTTAAGTGCTTACTATATGCAAGTTCCATGGTGGAATATAAAGATAAAATACATAGTCCCATGTTTCAAGTGGTTCAGAGTATACTAGCCAAAATTAGACAACATATAAATATAGAAATCATAATATAATATAGTTTAAAAACTAGCATAAGTCAGGAATTTTGAGTGTAATGTACACTACTGTATTAATTGAATATTCATTGCCACCAATTGTAAAATACACTATCATGTTATAACAAGAAAATAGGAAACAACAGATTAAAAAAATGATAAAGGAATAACATATTTTACTAGGGAGGAAAAGAGAAGAGTGCCAATTAACCAAGATGCATTATTAATTGTAAAGATTTGAGAGATTTTAAAATGTGGAAAAATTTGTTTATTAGCATCAAAGAGAAATGATACTAACTAAAAGTAATTAAATTAACAGCTTTCTATAAATAAACGACTATACCTGAAGGAAAATTATCTATGCTTGCAATGAAGATTAACTCAATCACCAGACAGAAATACACCATGGTGCAATGTCAATTTCAGCAGCACATAAAATACCATACTGACCTTGAAAGTGATCTTGGAAAGCATCCTTACTCAGACGCTTATTTTGTACCATCCCCAATTTTGCCATCCCCTAAGAGACAATTACTCCCACAAAAATCTGTACTTGCATTTGTTTTTCCTTTCACTTTGGAAACCACAGTTGTGCTTTATAAGTTTTAAGGGCAAAAAATATCTTATTGACTTCTGAATCCTAGCTCAGTGCTTGTTTAATGAATCACCAATGACTCTTTGACATATCTGAAACAACAGACACTACCAGCATAAGACAATCAAGACTGGTCTATAAATGGTAGAGTATAAGGCAGGGCATAAAACCAACAGACTCTCAAACTTCTCAGCCCCAGTTTTAGCATACTATCAAGGAACTGTTTGCTGGTATTACTGGAGAGTTATGAATAGCTTCATTTCATAACTTACTAAATTGGAAGAAATACTGTGTCTGAAACAAGGATTAAAATACAGCTCTAAAGACACAAAGAGAAAGGAAATACTTACAGAATAATACCCTGGGCAAATAATCAAATTTGAATTGGAGGCTGGGACTTTCTCTCTTAATGATAGCATAGAGGTAAACAGATGTGGTCCACATCTGAGTGCATTTTTAAAATGTAGCAGGTCACTGGGTAAGGGCATGTAAAAATTAAGTTATTAGCACTATAAAGTACTTCAATATTATTGTCAGGCCATCATATAAAGAAAAGTCTCCACAGAAAGAAAAATGCAAGAGTATGAAATCTGTAAGGTTTCATGTGTATTTGGAGATGGGGCTACATAGAGGTGAAGTCCTGAGTTACTGTTATTACAGACAGGAATCTCCAAGATGTTTCTTATTGCCGTTATGGGTAACAGCAGAATTACATGTTCCATTTCTTTTGTGCTTACAATGTGCCAGGTGCCGTATACTGTGTTAAGCACTTAAGATCTAATATCTCACTTAATTCTCATTACCATCCTTCACTCCCCATTTCGAATGTTACCAACTCTTGGTAATTATAGCACCTAAATTTCTCTCCAGCCATCTGCACCTTTCCATCGCCACTACCACTACACTAAACTGGGCCCTCCTCCCCTTTAACATAAACCAGTGAATGCATTTCCCTACTAAACTCCTATTCTCAAGTCTCAGCCTTCTTCTAGCTCTTCCCCCATATTGCTGGTGGACTTACCTTTATAAATGCAAGCTATCATTCTTTCCAGTGCCACGGGTTCTAAACCCTTAGCAGAGCATGTGAGTTCTGCATAATATAGATCCTATCTGCCCTTCAAGACTTTACTGCCCCTTCCAACCTTTAGTTCTAGGCTCCAGCCAGGCAGCACTTTGATCATATTTTTAGTACCCTACACAGGCCATGTCACTTTACCTCTCCATGCCTCCTGCAAACTGTTATAGACCCTGCAAGACTCAACTCAAACATCACTTCTGTGAAGATTTCCATGACATAAACCCTCACCTCCTAGCAATTACCACCTGTCAAGAAATGGCAGCCTAATAGTAGACATGTATTCTTCACACTTCCAAAGCACATGGCTCATTCTGTGGAAGTCAGTTGGTGAGAGTGTGGGGGACTGAACAGAAAAGGCTGGACACCCACCCCAAGGGCATGCTTTAAACTCAGTTAATTTCACCACAGTCTAGTGTAGCTCAATTCCATCAGTGATAGAGTTGACCAGAATGGAGAAGCCAACTCATACTCACTAACCAAGTAGTAAATGACATATGTAGTCTTTAGCTCATCAGCTAATCGGGGCAGCAAAAAAAGCATGTGAAACGACAGTGTCAACACATTTCTTTTTGTCTTTATTATATCTGATTCACATTAGGTTCTGATCCTATTTATGCCTGAAGCATGCCTTATTTTTATAGCTTTATTGAGGCAAGATAGATCATTTCTTTCTTTGTCTGCCCTGCCTTGGGAGATGATTTTCAAAAAGCCAAATCCTTATATCTCTTTTCCTTTTCATTTTAATCTTCATAAAGACATGCTTTCACCACATCATGCCAGAAAATGAGTAATCGTGCTAACAGCACCTAAGAAAATATGCAAACTACTAACATTTCTGAAGCCAAGAAGGATTTAACACATTGTCTTTATCTGATTTCCTTCCTAAAAATAAAAATTGAGTTAGTGTATACCAGGAAGTATATTTGCAGTAGGTAAATATGTCTTATGTATGTTCCACTTTACTCCAACTCTTTCTAATTTCTTCCTAGAAATTATGTACTCACATGAAACTAGTTATTATGTTTATAGAAAATAAACAAAGTCAGAATTTCAGCAGTAATACACACGAGCAGCTATTTCTTTTGCCTGCGGTGTGTATAAGACCAAAATATTTTAAAACATGTTATACCACTTTGAGGTATTATCTGTTGTTGACTGCCACTAACTCTAATTTTATATCAGCAGGAAAGAATATTGCTTGAAAATATTAAATGAACCTATAAATTTGGGTCCTCCATCGTCAAGTTTTCCTAGCATACAATTCCTTTGGGTAATAATGTAGACAGTGCTGGATGAATCTAACTCCCTTGCTTAGGACATACATTTTTCTAATCTAAACATAAATGCAAAAATCAGTTATGTCAAAATTTCATACAATGTTCTTGTAGAATTTTTTTTTTTTTTTTTTTTTTTTTTGAGACAGAGTCTCACTCTATTGCCAGGCTGGAGTACAGTGGAGAGATCTTGGCTCAGTGCAACCTCTGACTCCCTGGTTCCAGCGATTCTCCTACCTCAGCCTCCCAAGTAGCTGGGATTACAGGCACGTGCCATCACGCCCAGCTAATTTTTGTATTTTTAGTAGAGACGGGGTTTCACCATGTTGGCCGGAATGGTCTCCATCTCTTGACCTCGTGATCCACCCACCACAGCCTCCCAAAGTGCTGGGATTACAGGCATGAGCCACTTCACCCAGCCAAAATTTTTTAAAGAAAAGAGAAGGGGAAAAAGAGAAAGACAACAAAATTCTAGCAAATGGGACCTGAGGAAGCTTCAGACAGAGATTAACAATTGCCTCAAAATCATCAAGTGGCATTGTTATTTGAATACTATTAACCATGGACAGACACCACAGTACACAAAGGCTGTTCAGAATTAGAAAAGCTACTGACTCTGCTAAATCACACACAATATACTGGCCACTAGCACACAAAGGATTAAGTATTCAGCAAGCTAACTGGGCCAGAAATAAATGTCAGAACATATATGTAGTAAACAGTAGTCAATGACCTGGTTCCTGCCCACCTCATTACTCAAATATGCTGTCCTCCAGCTTTTTTGTATTGGAAGAAAATAATTTAACACTGGATAACATCATGGATAGGCATACATGAATAAAGTAATCCCAAAAATTCCCTCCTTAATAAGAGGTCTGTATCTTAAACAACAGGCAAAGTATTAGAGAGCCATATCTCTTAAAGGAGGGATACTGTCAAGAGGGGTTTAATATCCCTTTCCTAAATATTTTTGCTTAATTCAACTTCTTAAGATTACCAATGACAAAACAAGGAAATGCATTCTTGGGGAGTCAGAGATTCAGATGCTACATCCAGTATTCTCACTTGGTGACATTGGGTTTCTCACTTCTTTAGATGAGAGTTTTTTCATTGTTAAAAAAAGAAAGGTGTATGTAGCTTAGTCTAAATTATCTCCAGTGTACAAAAACAGCTTGGGGTTTATTATTACTTTTTAAAGTGAACAAATTAGAATAAAGATAACACAGATTTCAGTGAATGCACATTTTATCCACTGGAAGACTGAACTCTAGCTATCCTATAAAAATGGTGGTCACTGTTTTCCTTTAGAATTCTCCAAAGGTGACTTTATAATGTCCCTTAGCAATATACTGTCATATTTAGATAAGGAGAAAAAGCAGAATAAAATGTTATACAAATTGCTCAAATCAATGCATAGATGGAGTCTTGGCTAACACAAACCACAAGAAATGACCTTTTTAACATTTGGGGAGGGAAGTACAGAAAATGCATCAGTTCTTAATACAGAATAAAAGTACTGAATCTGTTCTATAGCCAAATCACTACAGAGAGGGTTAGGAATAGAAGGTGAAATCCTGACTTTGGTTTCCTCTTTATTATTACACCTCTAAAGCACCACTTCCCAAACATTGTTCTATGAGATGTTCACAGTTGCCTATCTGAAAACGGGGCTCTGGGACCAAATGCAGAAAGAAACAGTTAAATAGGTTTCTCCACTGCTGACCTTTTCATAGCATGTAGTACAAATATAGATCTGTATCTCCCAAGGAGGAATACGTAAGGCATCAACACCCTACCTTTGCCTCCCCACAACCAAAATACCTACTAACCCTTTATGAAACAGAACAGAACACTCTTCTACCTACTGGAATTTTTTTTTAAAAAAAGCTGATCTAAGTTTTCCCTCAAATTCCCACCAGCCCCCTCACTATTTTCCCATATACAAAATTTAAACTCTACTTCAGGTTACTTATCAAGGAAGTTTCACATTTAAATAGTTTAGTGAATAACAAAATGCTTGAATGAAAGAAAGGAATCCCGTCTTCAATTGTATTGCCCACAACTTTTTCAGAGTATGTCAAATTCACTGTTTAAAGAACAAGATTAAATTACTGTTACTGTTATTTCAAAAGGTTTTTTTTTCTTTTGCAGATGACAGAAATACACTACTATGATACTCTGCTCCACAAACACAAATTCATTCATCTACCTATTTCCCTCCTCACCACCCCTTTCTCTCAACACACACACAGGCATACAATTTCATGGTAAAATATCTCAGGAACAGAAAACCAGCACAGCATTACTCCTGCAGTTTCTCCTTATACAACCTGCAGCTTAAGGGAAGGTCAGCAGCATAAAAAAAGGTGATGACTTTGAAATGTGTATCACGAAACCAAGCTATTTATCAATAAGCCTAACAAGAATAAGGTGAGAGCCCATTTCAGCTGGCCAGAATGACTGCTGTACATCACACTCAGAGGCAGCAAGCCAAGACAGAATAAGGGTTACCAAGTTGTTATGGTAACTAAATTGTAGCTGGTTCCATAAAACATTAGCTTTTCTATCCCAGGGCCCATGTTTAAAATTCAATGCAAGTCAAGGTCTTTAGTTCAAATGAGGCAGCTAGTGGTCCCCTCAACCTACAATAAACCACGCCAAGAACGAACTCCATTTGTGCAGAGCACAGCAGCAGCCACAAACAAGCAAGCTCAGCTGCTCTAAGCCAAAGGGCTTCTCCCATTAACCCTCAGCCTGTGACATCATGACCAAAGCGGCAACCTACTCCAGCTGACTTCACCGATAGACCAGCACTATCCACAAAGGGAAACAAAACAAAGATGCAAAACAAAGGTCAGAGAAACCACAGCTGAAAGCAAAATCAGAGGTGGAACAATCCTCTGATATCCTCAGCACACGTAGATCAGCGTTTAAGGCAGAGGCTTCAGAGTCCAAGAGATTCAACTTGAATATCAACTCCCTTACTGAGTGCCTGTGTGATCTGGAGAAAGAGCCTTCTTTTCACTTAAGCCTACCTGTACTACAGAAGTAATAATTGTAGGGTTGCATAGCAACAAAGTTAATAGTACATATGTTTATCTCATGGAGGCCCAGGGAGCCAAAAAGATTTGCACAAGCAGGTTAGTGTTAGAATGCAGAGACAGGAATGCAGGTCTTTTTTCCTGCCAGATCTTTGGATTTAAACTAGGAAACTCAAAAGTAATGCTATGCATTGGATTTGAATCCTTTTTCTGCAGCTAACTAGCTGCGTGACTTTAGGCAAGTTGCTTAACCTCTCCCAAGTTACTTGCCTCTCAGTGCCTTCAACTGTAAAATAAGGATACTGCTACCTATTCCTTACAGTTGTTGTGAAGATTACAATAAGACAATGCTTTGCCTGTATAACATGAACACAATACATGTTGGCTATTGCTATCATTCTGGTGGTGACAGTTATTACCATCGACGGTAGATAGAATGGCCCCCATCCCCAAAGAGGCCCATATCATAATCTCTGGAACCTATGACTGTTACTCTATGTGTCAAAAGAGACTTTGAAGATGTCATTAAGTATCTTGTGATAGGATTATTATCCTGGATTATTCCAGATGGACTCAATGTAATTGCAAGGGTCCTCATAAGGTAAAGAAAGAGAAGAGGATGGAATGACAAATGCAGAGGTCAGACAGAGAGATCTGAAGATGGCACACTGCTGGTTTTAAAGATGGAAGAAGGAGCCACAAGCCAAAGAGTGCAGGTAGCCTCTAGAACCTGGGACCTTTGGAAAGAATGCATCCCTGCTTACACCTCACCTTGACTTTAGAACTTTTGACTTCCAGAACTGTAAGATAATAAATTTGTCTTGTTCTAAGCTACTACATTGGTAGGATTTGTTACAGCAGCAATAGGATACTAACATATTACCTTATTAATATAGAAAATAGGCAAGTGTGGGGAAAACACACGGCACATAGTAGGCACTGAATAAATGATGGTTGGTGAGCTATATTTGAGGGATGGCAGTAACTCAGGGAGACTCCAAGCCTCTCCAAGGAACCACAGGTGATAAGGTTTGGATCTGTGTCCCTGCCCAAACCTCAAGTCGAATTGTAATCTACCTAGTGTTGGAGTTGGGGCCTGCTGGGAGGTGATTGGATCATGGAGGTGGATCCTTCATGAATGATTCAGCACCATCCCCTTGGTGCTGTTCTCATGATAGTGAGTAAGTTCTCACGAGATCTGGTTGTCTGAAAGTGTGTAGCACCTCCTCCTCCCCCTTCCCTCTGCTCCAGCCATGTGAAGTGCTGGCTCTCCCTTTGCCTTCGGCCATGATGTAAGTTTCCTGAGGCCTCCCCAGAAGCCAAGCAGATGCCAGAATCATGCTTTCTGCACAGCCTGCAGAATCGTGAGCCAATTAAATCTCTTTCTTCATAAATTACCCAGCCTCAGGTATTTCTTTATAGCAGTGCCAGAATGGACTAATACAGCAGCCCTCTAGTATGCCATGGCAGCTAATGCTTGTTACCTGCTGCAACCTGTATGCTTCCTACTGTATATCAAACAGCTGGAGATAGATACTGTCTTCTAACCACTCATTCTTAGATAATTGTGCCTGAAATAGTCCAGGTAACTAAATGAACCAGAAGGGGAAGTACCATCAGCCAAGAAGCAGCTGAATTCTGAAGATGTGCAGATCTACACAGGAATGTCATTAGGCCCAAGGCTGTCTTATAACTAAACAGAAGAAAGCCACAGAACATAACTTCCATAGCCCTTGTTACAGTCTTTTGTTATAATGGTGGATGTGTTAAGCCTCAGGGGCAGCCTCAGGAAACAGAGCCGCTCTGACTTTCTCCTGCCTCCCTTTCACCTGTCCCAAGGCAGGGCTCTAATCTTCCTTACCTTTCTGATTGTGGGTCATAAGACCCTCATTCCAGAGAGGATCTGGCTCCATACCCTAGAGGAAGGGATGCTGAGTCATGAAGCTTCCATAAAACCCAAGAGAATAGGGTTCAGGGAGCTTCCAGATAGCTGAGCACATGGTGGTTCCTGGATGGTGGCACATCCATGGAGGGCATGGAAGTTTCCCCTATGCCTTGTCCTATGCATTTCTTCTATATCCTTCGTAATATCCCTTATAGTAAACCAGTAAATGTTATTTAAAAAAAGAAGCATTTCTACGTGCCTTGGGTCAGGTCTAAGACCACCAACCCTACAAATTTGATAGCATCCATAATAAGGGGCCTCCAGATAATCCCCAGTGAGGTGTGAGACACAAAATTTCAAAAGCCTGCGCCAGCCAATATTGAGGAAAAGCACTAACATAGGAGCTATCATAAAAGCTGTTTCCCCTCCCTCCTGTTCCAGCTGATGTCCAGTGTGCACGGAATATTACAATCTCTCTTGGCAGTGTGTCTGCAAGTACATCAGTGACATGGGAAGGGGTGGCAAGTTCATTCCACTCCCTCTGCAAGGGACTTGGCTTCCTGCTGCCTGAATGTTATATGTGTAGAGGAGAGGCAGCTTAACTGAGAGTACTATACAGACACAGTGGTTAGAGTGGTGTTAGGAACAACACTCCCAAATCAGGTGCAGGAAGATGGATGAGATATCTGCAATAAAGAGACTAGGAATGGGAAAGAATACAGCAGAGAAACAAGGGGACAGAATAAATGGCACAATCAAAACTGATTATTCACACTGGGGAAATGCCAGTCAGGGCTGCTTCTTGAGGACCTGCATATACCTTCTTGAATATAGCCTCATTTTTACACTGCATATTGCTTAAGGTCTCAGCCCTGGAATAGTCACCTTGGTGACTATGGAGGGTAAGGTAACAACACAGTTGCTTTCTTGGGCACCCAGAAGAATGTCTGATGTGATATTTGTCTTGAAATGCTCTCTCTATATGGGCCCACCCCTAAAATTATATTCTTCAAGTTCAAGTCTTTCAAATAAAAGGCATTAAAAAGGATAGAAGAAATGAAGTCTGACTCAAACTCATCCTCCAAATAGACAAAATATGTATTAAGAAAGGAAAGGCATAAACAAGCAAAGCTGAATAAGAAGATGCTTTTATCTTAGATGAGATTGCATCCTTCTTTCTTCTGTTAGGATTTGCATTTACCTAAACATCATCTGTACATGAAGATGTGGCATGTGATTCCAACTGAAGGCTAATAATGGGTGGAATAAACCATGGAATGTCATAATTTTTAAACTGCATGCCAAGGATCCCTCAGAGTCCTTGGGTAGGGTGTGTGTGGAAGAGAGGGTGGGGAACTGGAATCCTGCCCCCGTCCATGCTTCACACTGAACTTTGTCTTAATTTTGAGTTTGCTGACAAAAGAATGCTTAAAAACATCTAACCTAATGTAAACTTCTCATTCGCCAACAAATAAAAAGAATGGAAGACAGGGTGCCCAATTTGCCCAGGACACCAGGACACTCCAGGTTTGAATAGCACCTCCACAAAGAGACAATAAATTACATAGTCACCAAGCTAGAGACATCACAGGTCAGCCTAGGGTCCCACGTTCATATGAAGTTCAGCCAGTACCAGAACGTGCCTCCTAAGAGTCTTCCTACTACACAGTATTTTTCTCTTGTCAACAGAAAATGTTTCACTTATTTACTTTTTGTTTCTATTTGTTTCACCAGCAGAGGAAAAATTCCATTAAAACCTAATAGCAGGCTTGGAAAACATTTAAATTGTCGCTGGATATTTTTCCTGTTTTATACCACACTGATTCTTTGCCTTGGATATGAACCAAACACTGTAGAGCTTGTTTGTATGATCCTTTTGAAAAGTTATTTAGGTTTTTTTTCTTCTTCAGTAGAGTTATGACTAAAACTGAGATGTGAAAACTCTCTGGAACTGATCCAGAGAGGTATACCAGAGAACACAAGAATAATACCCCAGTATAAATAAGGTCCTGGTTTCTAGATGTTTTTGTTTTGTTTTATTTATGTTTGGATAATATAGCAAAAATTATGGAGTACAGAATCTACATTCATTTCTAGTATGAAATCTGAGATTTCAGAGCAATTTCCTACTTGTGTCTGTAGACTGCCACGTGAACCTTAGGGCATGTATTTATAGTCTTATTCCATTTTTAGGAGCACTGCAAGTTGATAAGCTTTACAGTGGTGTTCCATGTTAACACTTTAGGATTTGTGGCTGACATCCCTGACCTGCCATGGTAATCACTATCATTGCTTTTCAGAATGAGATCTTCTCTGTGCCTCCCTGAAATGAACTCTGCCTTTTCCCCTAACTTTTAGGGCCAAGCCCCATTTGGGCTATCAACATCCAAACAGGCTTCTTGCTAGCTAGTGGAAAAAGACTTCTGAAACTCACTGAAGTCCCACAAATGCTGACCCAGCCACATTAACTTCAGCATAGCCATGTGGCCTCCACATCCAGAGGCCTGCCTACAAAATGCAGATGCAGAGAGAAAAGAACAAGCATTATATCAAGCCCCTTATCAATATATCATGTGCCCAAATATTGTATGTTCCCAGGTTCCCAGCTATATGCTAGGTTGTTGACATGAGAAAATCTTATCAACCTCTGCTATTTTCCTAATGCTCAGATGAAAACTACTGGTGTCAGAAAAAAAGAAAAACACAACAACAACAACAACAACAAAAAACCTAAGTAGTAGAAGTAGGCAATAAACAATGGAAAGCGATGGAAAAAAGCTATAGCATATCTTCCAGTAGTCCCTGGATTGGAACAGTATGTTATTTTCTCAACTCTTGAAGCTTTAAAAACATTTATTGTGTGTGCTCAGTGTAATAGATGCCTAACTGAGATATGACTTCCTATTGTAACTGAGACTGCACTGTAAGTAGGAAGATGAATAGATTATTTCACCTTGGCAACTGCATTACTTTTGAGTTTCCTAGTTTAAATCCAAAGATCTGGCAGGAAAAAAGACCTGCATTCCTGTCTCTGCATTCTAACACTAACCTGCTTGTGCAAATCTTTTTTGGCTCCCTGGGCCTCCATGAGATAAACATATGTACTATTAACTTTGTAGGATTACAAGTTAAGATCTTTTAGAAAAAGACCACAGGGAAGTTGAACTCTCTTATCTAAGAAGGCCAGGAAATTATCCCTATGACGAACTGATGATGTCCAATAGGAGACTGTTCTTGGCTTCCTGAGCCGCAGTATATCTGGATGATGGAGAGAAAAGGTTAACGCAGAATGAGAAACATGAAGATTCATGAATTTATTGGCAGGGACAGGGGAGGTAATGAGGAACTAATTTTCTTTCCCAAACACACTCAAACGTTCCCATATTCTTCCTAAAATAATGATAAACTATTTCAAAATTAAAACCAGCAAGTCTGTGCCCACAAGATGTAATTCCAACTGAAGTTTAAGAGCAAACCTAGAAACTGGCCAAAGCATGTATCACTTTAACCTTGTGAGCTTGGTTTCCTGACAGGACTATTTTGTTGGGGAAAAAATATTCAAGGATATGCACTTAGAGAATTATTCCTCCCCAGTCATTTGTTTGGCAGGAAAACCTGTTCTGCTTCATGTAATTAGCTGATTAAAAAGTGGTATTTGATTGAACCCTGGCTATACAAAATGATCTTGAGTTGATTGAAGGACACTTTCAAACCCTTCGATTGGGAATGTTTGTGTTTGGAATAATAAATCTTCACTCAAGGAGAGGATGAACATTCCTATTTATACAATTTCAACATCTATAATAAGGTATTTATTCATTCCAGAGGTAGGTTTTATTAGTCCATTTTGAGAATGAAAAACATGATGACACTTTAAATCATACACTCCTGAGAAAAATGGGCAGATTATTCACAATGATCATTTCTAATAAGAATGGAAATAAAAATCATCATACTTGACCAATTTATGATATATAGAAAACACTGCATCATGCAACTACTAATTCGCCATCACTATTGACTTTGCAGAAGCCCATTTCAAAGATAAGACACCGTATCCCCAGAACAAGTGGGATAGATGTGTTTTCTGTAAAAATAATTCCTTCCATTTATGCCCCCCTAAGAAAACAAGTAGATTATGTTTTTTCCCTTGAACTGCTGTTATTGCTTTTTAAATATGTATCTCTCCTCCCAACATTGTAGAGGTATGACTAAAGTCCTATCATAGTTGAGAATGCCCCAGAAGTAATGAGTAATACAATCCCTGTCCCATTGCCTAAGCAACTACATGCTTTTCTGAATCATAGATGTCAATTCAAAAGTATAGAAATTAGGGCTGGCTTCTAATTCGATTCTACCACTAATCATTTTTGGGAACTCACACTTCTGAACTTTACTACAAGCCTCAGTTTAGTTACATGTAAACTGGTGACAAATACATATACTATGTACCTTCCAAAATTGAAGCTATCATATGATAAAGGCTTTCCAAAAAATATCAGAAGAATTATATAAATGTAACAACACAATATATACCAAATAAGTATTTCCTATTAATATTAAACTGCCATAGAAACAGTAAAATATCCTTTTGTAGTCCTAGAGATTTTCTCTAAACCAATTTGTAGAAAGAGGAAATGATTTATTGCTTCTCATGTACTTTAAATGCTACCTTTTTATAGATTGTTCTTAACCAGAGTACACAATAGAATTTGAACACTTTCATTCACCAGGCCTTAGGGACTCTTCTATTATCTCTCAGAGATGGTCTGACCCTGGCCATAGGCTATTTTAATTTACCCCCTATTGTCACAGCTGGCTGTCATGGCCTAGGTCTTTGGTCAAATGAATCAGGCCCTTGTACGGAAGCGGGGGTGGGGTGGCAGGGGGCGGATATTTTGAACAGACGGAATTAATCTGGTTTAAAAGTCAGACAAACTTTAAAAAGAGAGTTGGCTGGAATAGCATATAATTGCACCTCCTTATACATAAAGCTAATCAATTAGCAGTAAACTGTTAGAACTTTACCATTTGGCTTGATCATTCTGAGGCTTCCAAAGCTTCCCTCTCTAGCATACAGCAGCAGTGGGCTGTATTTCCACCAGAAACAGAAACTGACAGTTAAATTCTTTCATCCCCCCTCTATTTTATCTTCTCTCAGTCTAACAGAGCTTTAATACCTGCACAAAATACCAGACTTTACACTAGTTGGCTACATAGACAAGAAATAAAAATCCACATAACTAGGATTCTGACCATAAAACTATGTGCCCACGTGGTATTCCCATCATGCCCAAAGATGCAAGCATGTTTTGGAGGCTGAAGTGTAAACGGGATTATTTATTTGCTGAGCATGACAGAGGGAAAATAAAATGTAGTGCTATAATCCTCACAATTAGAACTCAGCCAATTTATTGTCTGCTGTCTGGATGATAAATTTCAATCTTTTTTTAATATAATTCATGCAAAAATAAAAAAGAAAGGTCTGAACATCAGGCATACAACACAAATTCTATTACACTGATAGCAAGGAAAACATATAATGAAATCTTTTCCTGTTTACAAGGTCATCCTTCTAGTTCATGGAATTCATTTAATCCTTAAGTCCAATTCAGTGTGTGCTACTCTACAAATAAATCCACACAGGTTTCTAACAAGAACCCTAAAAGGGGGTTCACAATGCAAATGAAAAAAACAGCACAACACGGCCATTGATAAATTGATCCTTTCGGATAAGCAACACTTTTTTCTAACTTAAGTATCTTTTAGAGGGCAATAAACTGCTTTATCAAAAAATTAAACTGTAACTCTAAGCAAAAAAAAAAAAGAAAGAAACTAATAACGTGTGCTGGAGGTTAATTTTCAAGGGCTTGGATATATAATTTACCACCCACCTCTTTTTTTATTAACAGCACCAACTCATTAAAAACTTCCACTGTTCCTTCCTTTGGTACTAGTGATTCACATGACTGGGAGAGTAGCAATTATTCATCTTTTAATCTTTAAGTAAATGCTCAGCAAAAGGGGCCAAGGTCTGACTGCTGCTTTGTATAACATTGGAGAGATTAGATGAGAAGTTGTAAACATTTAAAAGTCCTCCAAGGTGGGTGGATCACTTGAGGTCAGGAGTTTGAGACCAGCCTGGCCAATGTGGCAAAACCCTATCTCTACTAAAAATACAAAAATTAGCTGGGCACGGTGGCACGCACCTGTAGTCCCATCTACTCAGGAGGCTGAGGCAGGAGAATTGCTTGAACCAGGAGACGGAGGTTGGAGTGAGCCAAGATCTCGCCACTGCACTCCAGCCTGGGCAACTGAGCGAAACTCCGTCTCAAAAAAACAAAACACAAAAATAAAAGTCCTGACCTGCTGTTTAGATTTATCTATCCAATAAAATAGAATGTTTCAATATTAACTGGAAATCCCATGAAATAAAATCACTCTCTTGCCAAAAATTATAATGGTTATTACCTTAAAATTTGCTAAAGTGTTAGGGAGATGAATCAAAACATCTTTTTAAATAGCAAAGAAAATATACTTATAATTAACAAAACCACAGATATGTTATGAAGTATCAGTCTATCTTTCCTTCTTAAAAATGATATTTTGCTTTTTAATAACAGAAAGACCTATGATATATAGATATAGATGTAATATATATAATACAAATATATATATTTAACATATAGGTATTATCACATAGTTAGAATGTGCATGGCAGTTTGTGAAATACTTTGCACACACTAATACGCTTTTACCAGCTGAAGCACTAAATCTGTGCCTCATTCTTTTCTGAAATTTTTTCATTAAATATATGTTTAAGTTACTAAGTATAGTATATGAGAGATTTTTGAGTATTCAAACATACAATTTTATGGTTATCCACATTTTACTGATTAGTATTCATCCCTAAAAGGCCAGCAGAAGTCATAGGAAACCTTTGCACCATTTTGGTGGCCCAGACTTCAGGCCACATTGACCTGGGCCAATTGAGTCATGGTGGTAAAGCTCTTCCAACCTCAGCGTTCCCTATGTTTTGTAAATTTCCCTGTGATGATTCTACCTTTGCCAGTATGGGGACACAATAATATTAACTGTGCAGTGGAGTTTCAATAACCTCACCTGAATCAGGCTAATACCAGTCAGGGTCCCAGATGCTGTTTGTTTGCCACACTAGCAATGCATTTTTAATTTCTACCTTTTCTCATTTTCCAGTTGTCTTTGCTCAGTCCAGTAAACAAAACAACCTCAGATTAAGAAATATTTAAAATTCATCTTATAGCTTCTGGACTTCATTAGTAAGTTAAAACACAGACTCCAATTGACTTTCAAGTGCTTTTCAGTTCTCACTCTACCACCTTCTCATTGGACACTTAGTCACTATTCTTAATAAAATTAGAATGCATAGTAAATGCACATGATTATTGCATTTACTATAATAGTTGGATTCTTTGGCAACAATAGCTCATCTAATTCTCATACCAATTCAGAGACAGCTGCTATTATTAGCCCCACTTTGCAGATAAAGAAACTGAGTTATGGAGAAGTTCATTTGACCCCATTCATACCGCCTATAAGAAATGTTATATTGTGAAGCCTCAGCTCTTAGCTGACACCTAGTATTGCTTCTGCATTGAACAATTTTATATTAAGATGTTATCATCCTGACACCTGTTCTCAAAGGGAATATATATATGGCATCCCTGTTTAACATCCTTCAACGATCACTGCTACCTCCAGAATGAAGCATAAACCCTTGATCTAGAATTTATACACTACATGGGCTGCCTACCCTTCCAGCTTCATCATGCTCTACATGTCCCATGCACACAGTCCTGTTCCTGAGGACTAACTGTCCCCAAACTTTTCATGTTCCCTTCCCTTTGTACACTTGCAGTCATATCCTGAAACATCCCCCTCCATTGTGTCCATCTGGCAGGTTCCCCCACTCATGTTTCATGACTCAGCTCAAGCATCTCCTCTCTGGGCATTCTTCCCTGATGCCTAGCCACCAGGCAGAATTGTCACACCCACCTCTGTTTCCATACACTTTCTTCATACATTAAGTACAACTATGATTGTTTTATATTTTCAAAAAAGTAAAAAAAAAAAAAAAGTCTCTCATCACCGGTGAGCTCAGAAGCAACTATTTTGTCTTTCATCCATGTCTTTTGAGCACTGAACAGAATAGACCTGCTTTGAGAATAAGCAGAGGAATGAATGTACAAGTGGCATTAGTGGAGTCAGGCAATACACATCCCCTAAATACAAGCTCTGGAAAGCTAGGACTTTGTGGTTGGCCAGACTAAACAACTATGAAGAAGTCATTTACAAACAGCAATTCCCACACCTTAATATGAATTGTCTTAAAAACTCCACGTGAAAGTCTCATTGTACAGAAATTCATCTGTTCACACAGTTTCGAAGTGGAAAGAGTTTGACACCTGCAGGACACTCCCTATAGCTCAACACAGCTGGAAGGTGTGGTGAAGACAACTGGATGCAAGGCAGGGCAGGGTGAGGGTGACTCCTAAAGGCCCATTTGCCATAGAGTAAACAGAATTTTGCCTGAATAATTCACTACCCCATTTCCCGGTTAGAATATCTTTCCTTCTATCTCTGCACATCCAAATGCCACCCTTCATAGTTCATATGCCACTTCTTCCATTAAGCGTTCAGCATTTCCTACCCAGATTTCTCCTCCTTAATCTGCTCCTCTCTACAGAAACTCATACTTTTCTACAGCACTACACCTTTGCACAAGTCTTACTTCACATACTAGAAATAAACTTATTAAGGTCTACATCCTTTTTCCCTCCAAACTCACCCCCAGCAGCTAGCCTGAGCCTAATACATTGTAGTGTGAAGAATAAGGCACTCTCCAGGTTCTGCAACTTTTTAAATAAATACTTCAACTAGAATTCAGTGGAATCAATAAGCATTGAAACAAAATCATAATTACGTATTATAGCAATTCCAGGATAGATTTCAGGTGAGAAAATTTCTCTACAGCATTCCTAATATGCTAAATTTTTTACTTGAGCCCATGGTCTAGATAAAGTTATTTAAAACTTTGACATAAATAGCCATATTTGTTTTTTGTCATTGTTTTTAAAACACGGTCTCACTTTGTCACCCAGGCTGGAGTACAAGGGTGCTATCACAACTCAGTGCAGCCTCAACCTCCTGGCCTCAAGCGATCCTTCCACCTCAGCCTCCCAAGTAGCAGGGATACAGTTGTGCACCACCATACCCAGCAAATGTATGTTTATTTTTTGTAGAGATGGAGTCTCACTATGTTTCCCAAGCTGGTCTCAAAGTCCTGGGCTCAGGCAATACTTTTTCCTTCGCCTTCCAACGTACAGGCATGATCCCCTGCACCTGGCCAACTATCTTGTTATTGATTACAAAGACATGACTTGTCTAGAGAAAGTTGTCAAGTTGTATTTGAATTGCAATCACTTTCATCAAAAGCAAAGAAAAGATTTCAAATGTATCATACCAAAAATGTTGGAAAGACAAAGCATTGTGTTGGGGGCAGGGATAATGAGAATATTAAGGCAAAGAGAAGATACATGTCTTTAACAAGGAAAAAAGTTTGGACTTATATTGATTGTAAACTATAGCTCAAAACCTATCAGTTTTCTTAAAAAAAAATGAAGGAAAAACAATAATGCAACCACACGCATAATTTTCAGGCACAGTATGACATTCCTCCAGTGACTGGACATCAAAAGGATCAATAGGAAAATTGACGTTCCTGAAGATTCAGCTACAGATTAAGGACAGTACAAGAGTTGGCAGTTTAATTTGAATCAAAGGTAATATCATCATTCTGAAATAGATCACTGAAAACATAAACTTCAAACATGAATCAGACAGCCACAATCATTTCATAATAATGGAGTATACTACAATGGCACAGCATTACAAGAAAAACAAATACTGCATTTGTAATGTGAACAGCTGACCTGTATGGTAAAATATGCTTTATACTTTACGGTATATTTTCTCAGCAAGTTTCAGTATGTGGACTTTGCCCTGGATTCTGCCAAGAGAAGAACCAGAACATCGATAATCTCTCTTCCTCACTTAAAATGTTCATGCAATTAGGTGGCTAACAATGAGGAACATGGGTGAGCCCAAGGGTATCCAGTCTTTCTGTGGTGAGGCATTCATTCCAGTCGCCACCTCCGTTGGAGCCACACACAGTGTAAAGACTGAGTACAGGAAGGGATTTCTGGCAGCCAGAGAAAGGGGCGGTACCACTGCCACACTCACAAAATCACCCTGCAGTATTTCCTCCCCTCCAACCCCCAACCATCCTAGAAGGAAGGAGGGACAGAAAGCAGGTGCTCAATAATAAAAATAATCAACAAGGACCAATGTATATTTGCACAGTACTTTAGAGTGTGAGGCCCTTCATATACATTACTTAATCTGATTTACAGTGAACCAAGGCCCATGATCAGCCAAGTTGGTCGGATAAATCATCATCCAGCATAAGATCCATAAAGGCAACGGAAGTTAATACAACTTTAAAAAAATCAGCAAAGGCTGAAGTATTGGGAAGGTAACAACCAAAATACATTTTTATAAGGAACGCTTTCTGCTAGAATTAAAAATTCACACCCAATAAGATCATTCAGTTAAAATACCAAGATTCCCGATTCCTTCTACAGGTCTACAATCCCTAAGTGCAATTCATAACCCCAAAGCTCTAAAAACCCAAAGGTTTTTCATAACCTCACCTGAAATAAAATAAGATTACAGCTCCTTATCCCACTTTATTAGTTTTCTATTGCTTCTGTAATAAATTACCTCAAACTTAGTGACTTAAAACACAAACGTTTATCTTACAGTCCTGGAGGTCAGAAGTTCATCAGGGTTCTCACTGGGCTAAAATTCCAGGTGCCAGAGAAACCGCTTTCTGTGCTGGAGCCTCTAGGTGAGAATATGTCTCCTTACCTTTCTCACCTGCTAGAGGCCACCTGCATTTGTTTTACCAGAGCTCCCTTCTTCCATTTTCAAAGTCAGGAAGGTAACAGTTCTCTGACCATTTTTCCATCATCATATCCTCTGACCACAGCTGGGAAAGATTCTCTGCTTTCAAGGACCCATGTAATCAAATTGGGTCCACTCATATAATCCAGGATAATATCATCATCTTCAAGTCCTTAAACCTAAATCGCATCTGCAAAGCCTCTTTTACTATGTGATCTGGTGTGGCTGTGTTCCCACACAAATCTCATCTTGAATTCTAGCTCCCATAATTCCCATGTGTCGGGGAAGGGACCCGGTGGGAGGTAACTGAATCATGGGGGCGGGGCTTTCCCATACTGTTCTCATGGTAATAAATAAGTCTCATGAGATCTGATGGTTTTATAAACGGGAGTTCCCCTGCACATGCTCTCTCTTACTTGCTGCTATGTAAGATGTGTCTTGCTTCCCCTTCACTTTCCACCATAATTGTGAGGACTCCCCAGCCACGTGGAACTGTAAGTCCATTAAACCTCTTTCCTTTATAAATTACCCAGTATTGGGTATGTCTTTATTAGCAATGTGAAAACAGCCTAATACACCATGAAAAGTGACATATTCACAGGTTCTGGGGATTGAGATGTGGACATGGGGTAGGGGGCAATATTCCACTACAGCCACTTATTGTGCATTTTCATGTATTTTCTTAAGGAAACAGTAATATTTTTAATCAAGGAGTGCTTCCTTAGCCCACACTGAGGTTGATATATTAAGTACAGTGTATATGTGTGTATATGCATACATGACTGTACATAGACATATGTGTGTATATGTTTACATATAATTGTATATAGACATAAAAACAAACATACACCTTATTGTTTTCCTAAAATATGAAGAAGTCCAAACTGTGAAACATTTCTTACTCCAAGGGTTTCAGGTTGACCTGTACCATGATTTATCCATCCTACTGGACCTGTCTCTCCTCTTCAGGTCAACCTCTGTCCATCCTCTTCAAAGGAGCAGTTGCTCTTTTCATATGTCAGATCCAAAAACACTGACTGGACCTTAAATATTAGCAGACAATGTCACTATACATTGAAGAGCCTAAAACTAAAGTCTACTCCCTCTTGCCTTCTTTTAACTTCTTAGATGAAGATGCCTGGTAAGTTGAAATTAGAACCCCTCTAGGGGCATGACCATTTCTTTCTCTTTTTGACTTCTTTCCTGAACTGTAGCTAGGCTAGAGGGAATCCATACTGAAAATGTACATATAGAGACACAAGCCAAAAATATGTGCTCCAAATGGCCTTTTACCAAAGAGCCTTGCCTTATGGGTAATTGGCACCATCTCAAGCTATTAATAAAGTGGTATTCTGATTATCATTTGGCTGCTGTTGCCTGCATGCATCTTCCCTGGGGACTCTGTACAGGGACAGAGGTAATTGGCAGGGCAGGTTCAGGTATTTCTGAGACTTTAACCATACTACTATCAAAATTCCACCTCAATTTTTAATATACAATTAATAAGCACTAATATCAGGAAACTTACTCAAAAGTGCATGAAATGCTTTTACCACTCTGACAAAAAAAAAAAATCTGAGGTATGATACAGACATTTACCCTATGGGAATATCCCAAATGAACATTTTTAGTTAGCTGGCAAAAAGGGGAAAAGCTATAGGTAACGGCATAATTTCTCATGCAACTTCCTGTGACATTATTCAGACTTTATCTGCTATAGGCAGAAAAGCCTTTATGGTTATTGAGGCCATAAATAGGAGACCTTCAAAAGAGCATTAGCATTCATTAACAGTGTAGAACTCAGGATAATGCTCAATTATGGTTACCTGATCCAACCGAATCTTGTGTTGAGCACAGCCTGGCCATAATAAATTGTAAAGTCTAGCTATAAATAACAAACACTCTGAAAAATAAGTTTTAAATGTTTTAATTAAAAATTAAATATATTACAACTTTCTGAAGGGCAAGCATATTTTATTCATTCTTATACACCTGTTACCTTCATATAGTATATATGACCATTACTATATATCTACAAACTTCATTTTTGCTTAAACATCATGTTTACTTCATGGAGTAAATGAATGCAATGCCCCATGTGCGATGCACATAAAACAAGCACACAAGATGGGACCCATTATCTAACTAACAAACAAAAGCATGCTTATCAAAAGACACCTAAGAAAATACTCCCAGGCTCTATGTACATCTGCCATCTATCCTTTTCCCCAACAACTAGGAGTCGTTTAATTTCTACATATTTCATGAGGACCAGAAAAATCAGATCTATGTTGTTTGTTCTCAATTCTAAAGGCAGTTCTTATTGCACACTGTGTGCTCAAACATAAAAATACCAGGAAGAACTAGTGACTTCATTAGTTTTATCCTGAGGCTTGTGATGCAACTAATTTGTGATGTCCTGAAAACCAGTTTCTGAATGACTACTTATTGGTTTTCCTGAGTCCTTTTGCATCATGCTTGTTCAAAGGGTACATAAATGTGTATGCCAAGGACCAAAAAAATAAAGCAAAAAAATCAATTTCAATTCCCAGAGAGCATGAGATTGGCATAGATCAGTGAACAACATCACTGTTTTTATATCAAGATAACCTTAGAACTGAAAAAATTCTTGGAGGCAAGATTCCAATTAGTTACCCTACCTAACAAATTAAACAGCAAACATAAAAAAACCTTATGCTGTAAATCAAAAGACAAGTGGTGGCACATTTAGGAAAATGACCTAGTAATCTCACTAATCTAAAGGCTAAAAAACTTTAATTCTATTATCAAAGGTTCCTGGTGCTTATATATATTAAAGATTCAGCCACCATTTAAATTTTTATGGGATAATTTATTTATATAAAATTAAACAGATCCATGAAGTAAAAAGTGAGGTTGTTGTCTTTTTTGGTTCTCCAGTCCACACCATTTTACCTGCAAGGATGTATCAGAACTTTGTACGTATACAGAATCTCTCTCAGCCCACAGTGATACCCAATTTTTAGGTTTTATTAGTCTTGTAATACAACAATGAGAGAAACAGGTTGATACATACCGTCCAGAACCAGGCTTAAGAAGGAAAACCTAGCAATACACACAAAAGAACAAAGTACAAATTGATGAAGAATGGATACAACATAATATCTCACCAGAGCCTTATTTGGGTCATATATTATTTGGGGCACTTTAATCTTACATAGTTCACTGGAAAACAGAAGAAAAGCTTCTACGACAATAAAAGCCCATGCGGCAAAGGCCTTTTTGTGTGTATGCTGGGGACAGGGGTGATTTTGGGGATAACGTGAAGGTAAACTATAATACTATTTCAAAAGTTTACCCAAGTTTCTGCCAAAATATGTCCCAGTCCTCAACCCTCCAGGACTGCTTTCTTTCAAAATTCCAAAACAGTTGAATTTTTAACAGATATATTGCCAAAAGGAAGAATCAAGATTGAGATCCAGGTTAGCAACTAATGAAAGAACAGATATTGTATCTTCTGCACTCATTATAGATAATGTCTACAGAGTATTCATTCCCAGGAGTTAAAAATATAAAACAAGGTAGAATGTTAGCTATTCACTGTGGCAAATACAGATTTAAATAGCCTTCTGTCAACTAGAACTCTATTAACTGGCACTTCTACATATCTATAAAACTGTGATAACTAATACAAAAACCTTAAACTGCCTCAGGGTTGTAATTATAAATACTAGTTATCTATTGCTGCTGCATAACAAATTACTCCAAAATTTAGCAGTTTCTAACAATAAACATTTAATAATTCACACAGCTTCTGTGGGTAAGGATTTCAGAAATATCTTAACTGGTTGGTCCTGGCTCAGGGGCTCCCAAGAGGATGTAAAATGTTACCCAGGACTGCAGTCATCTGAAGAGTTCCAGGGCTGGAGGACCCTCTACCAAGGTGGCTCCTTCATACAACTGGTAAATTGGAGCTATTAGCAGAGGGCCTCACTTTCTTGCCACATGAATCTCCATGGACTGCTTGAGTCTTCCCAAGACACGGCAGTTGGCTCTCTCCAGAGTGTGTGATCCAATAGAGGAAGGTGGAAATGGCAATATCTTTTATGACAGCCTTAGAAGTCATACTTCCTCAGAAGTCATACACCATCACTTCCGTCATCTTCTATTGATCACACAGAATATATAACGTGGGAGGGGACTTCACAAAGCATGAATAGCAATAGGAAAAGGTCATTGGGGACTATCTCCGAGTCTGACAGTTACAATCTTGAGATGAGCTTCCTAATGAAAGATTAATGCTCAACATACTTTTAGAACTATTTATTGTACAATTTCCTGAAAAGTATTCTTACATATGATAATATATTGATCATGACATCTTATGAGCTCTTTCAAGGAGATGCTTAAATGTTGAATCAAACTAATCTTGTGTTTTCTAACCCTGATTTCTTTTATTTGCTCAGTTCTAACACATTTTTCACTCATCATTTTGTGTATATTAGTTTACTGACTTGCCATTAAATGTTTGGTGTTAATATCTATATCAGTTTAGCATCAATATTATCAATAGTAGATCAATATTATTTAAAAAGCAGATATTCTAGATTCTCAAAACCAGAGTGAATTAAAATTTCTATAGTCAGAGAATCACAGGAAAGGATCTGAAGAGGTTACCTAACTTGTTGAAACTGAATGATGGATCCATTGAAATCCATCATGTCATCATTTCTACTTTCACGTCCATTCAAAACTTTCCATAATAAAACTTTTTAAATAGGTATAATAATTCAATAATTCATTTTTCAGATAAGGCCATCTCAATATGAAAGAAAATTACTTATGCAATGAAGCCTAGAATATTGGAGCACACAAAGAAAAATAAATTAAGAATGAAATATTACATCTTTTACCAAATGACATCTTCTCATAAGTAAGACTTCAAATGACTTCACAAAAAAATTATTCCACAACCTTCCTTAGCAAACCTGTAGTATTGGATTACATTGGGGTTTTAGTAGGCAGTCACAGCTTGTAAGTGAACAGCTCTGTAATAGTAAAGCCAGAAATTTATGTTTGTCACATATTTGTTGTTTTTATAACACATTATACTATAGCTAATCCTGATTTCAACTTTCGAGAAAAATTCATGGATAACTTTTTTTTTTTTTTTTTTTTTTTTTTTGAGATGGAGTCTCTCTCTGCCTCCAGGCTGGAGTGCAGTGGTGCAATCTCGGCTCACCGCAAGCTCCGCCTCCCGGGTTCACGCCATTCTCCTGCCTCAGCCTCCTGAGTAGCTGGGACTACAGGCGCCCGCCACCACGCCCGGCTAATTTTTTTTGTATTTTTAGTAGAGACGGGGTTTCACCGTGTTAGCCAGGATGGTCTCGATCTCCTGACCTTGTGATCCACCCACCTCGGCCTCCAATAGTGCTGGGATTACAGGGGTGAGCCACCGCGCCCAGCCATTCATGGATAACTTTCACACTATATATATAAAAAATAGGTTAAGATAAGCTTTTCTAGAAACTCAAAAATGGGATGCCCTCTTACCCTTTACCTGCCCCCTGCAAAAAAGAGTTTTCTTTTTTTCTTTTTTTTAATTTTTTTATATCCATAGGTTACTGGGGAACAGGTGGTGTTTGGTTACATGAGTAAGTTCTTTGGTGGTGATTTGTGAGATTTTGGTGCACCCACCACCCAAGCAGTATACACTGCACCCTATTTGTAGTCTTTTATCCCTCACCCCCTTCCCACCCTTTCCCCAAGTCTCCAAAGTCTGTTGTGTCATTCTTATGCCTTTGTATCCTCATAGCTTAGCTCCCACTTATAAGTAAGAACATACAATGCTTGGTTTTCCATTCCTGAGCTATTTCACTTAGAATAATAGCCTCCAATCTCATCCAGGTCACTGCTAATGCCATGAGTTCAAAAGAAAGAGTATTCTTATCTCTTAGGCACCTGGTCATTGTTTTCAGCTTGAGACTATAAGGAAAAACTAAGGTAGAGAGGGGGAGATGGGAAAAGGAGGAGACGAGATCACAGTTCCTACATAAATAAGCACAGTATTACAGTTTATGTTCAGACTTTAAAAGAAAAATCAATCTAAACAGAAAATAACTGTGGCCTTCCTGTGCATTTCAACATCAGCAGTATGAACATCAATAATATAGAAATTGATATGTAATGAATATATGCTACATGCTGGTTGCTCTCCTAAATATTACATTAATATATTCTCTCACCTAATCATCACAAAAATTCTTCTCTACAACAATTTTACAGATGGGGATACTGAGACTCAAGAAGTTTACCCAAGATCACCTATATAGTACGTGGAAGAGTACGAATTCAAACTCAGAAAGACTCCTCCAGAAGCTACATCTTTAATTGCTGGGCAATACTGCCTTAAAATGGACTGAGGTGTTTTTGATCAATCAGGGTGTTTGATACATCTTAATAAGGTAGCATAAGACTGTGTTCAATAACAAATGCTTCTTTTGATCGGGGGAATAAATTCCCAAAAAATATGATTTTATGGTCATATTGGCAGTATTAATGTATAAAAGGTACCATTGATTCTTCAATGTTTTGTCTACAAACCTACCAAAAGCCACCAAGGAAGGATGGGGACTTAGATCTTTTCCAATAGAGAAAAATGAAAGCTGGCTATAAGACCCAAAAATCTATTAATATACATAAATAGATCACATATAAATATATACTAATCAAGATGAAAGAAATAATACTTAAGGTTTGTTTCAAACCTTCCTGGCTATACCTGAACTGTTATAAATCACTTGTCAAAACACTGACTTCCTATTCTCAAGAAAGTTTTTGCTCTATGTCACCAGCAATGCTTCCAGATCTTGAAGTCTCTAGGTCCTGATTATCTGAAGTAGTTAAAATGTGCACAATTGTTACAAAAATGTTGCATAGATTAGCAAAAAGTGTCATTGTACAAGCGTTGTACAATCTAATGATGTGAACAAGCAGCTTTTAAAGTCTTTGCAGGGACTGGGCTTATTTCTTGTGAACATTGTGAGATCATTCTAAAATAAGAGAATAGTAAATACATATAATTTTAAAAATCTGGAGTTTAACAAGGCCATTGGGTTACATAACCAACTTTAATGATGCATTAAATTCAGAATCTGTGCTATTGCAATGTTCGACCTGAGACTTCATCTGGGACACCGAAGGATGATGACCTATGGAAACATCAGCACCAGAGCCTCATATCAGATATCGCAGTTGACAGTCAGACTTGGGAGAAAAAATGAAGTCTGTGCAGAAAGATAGCTCTGGGGATTTTTCCCATCCTGAGGTCCATTTAACCTTTCAGGAACTTACTTTTGCTTACAAAATGGGAGAAGGGAAAGAAATCTTACATGGTTAGAGTGGGGGAAATGTATTCCTACTTGCAGTCACATAAGTAAAAGGGTAATGCTTGCTGGATTTATTATGCATATTATGTGATTCATCCTTGAGCATATACTGCCTTTATCCATAGAACATAGAGAGCAATATATTAGCCTTCTGAATGGAAGACAAAAATGCATCATTGCCCATTCATCAATGGTCCAAGGAAGTATCTCCAGTCTCTATTCAGAAGTCTTTTCTGTTTCCTCCGAGTGTATCATTTAGTATCCATTACTGCTACATATGTGCACCTCTGTGTCTGTGGTTATGTCCTGTGTGTTTAAGAATTCATAACAGGAAAGATTATGCTCATTTTTCTTCTTGAGAAAACAAAGCTAGGTGACATCTGTGAATAAACAGGCCAACACTGCAATAACTGAAACAGTAAGAAGTAGGAACCTAACCCTGGCCTTCTGGCTTCTACTTCCATCCACAGCTCCCTGAATCTCAACATTCCTCATGTTGGCACCACCTCTTACGTCTGATTCTCATCCTAATGATTCCTGCTACACACAAAGTCACATGTGCACACTTCTCTATAAGTTATTTTCTATTAAAAAGATAGCATTAAACCTCTGTCTTCTGAGAATTTTATAACACCCCTCAAGTACAGCAGGTCGTGGAACGACATCATTTCATTCAACTTCGTTTCATTATAATGTTGCCCAAATGTTGATTCCTGGCTGGGTCCACTGTCTGGGTGGAGTTTGTACATTCTCCCCATATCTGTATGGATTTTCTCCAGGTACTCTTGCTTCCTGCCACGTCTCAAAGATGTGCATGGTAGGTGAATTGGCACATGTAAATGGTCCCAGCCTGCGTGTGGGCATGTGTGAACGTGCCCTGCAACAGGATGGTGTCCTGTCTAGGGCTGGTTCCCGCCTTGTGCCCTGAGCTACTCGGATAGGCTCCAGCCACCTAAGACCCTGAACTTAAATAATTGGGTAAATATTGATCTGGTTTATAGTAACCTTTCTTACATATATACATAGTTTACATGTATTTGAATGCTTAATATTGAAGTGTTTTGAGAAGTTTGGAAATGTTTTTGTGACCAGAAATATGCCATGGGAACTTAAGTCTTGTTTCTACCAATTAGCCTGTGATAAAAGTGTTTCATTATACTTCCTTTTGCTTAAAGTTGCAGTTTCCAAGAACCTATCAAGTCAGTTAAGTAAGGACTTACTGTAAGTGAAGAGCAAAGGGACAGACACTGCAAAACAAGGCTTGGGAGATGTAGTTCTGACTAATGTCAGAAAGTTAACATTCATCTATACAAAAAAGCCAGTACATTAATTCTTTCCATATCAAGTCCCCGAGTGCTAACAAAGTACGGGTCCATGTCCACACTTCAGCTTGCACCCAGAACAACCACTTCCTGTTGCCATGAGTTACAAGTTGGGTCACTTGGAGTCCTCCAGACAACTTGAGAGGTACAGCAATTTCAGAATTAAGAAAATATATTCTTGGTAATTAGCAGTGGTCAGCAATTCAGTCTATTAAAATATTAGATCAGAAATATTTGCTAATCCCTCTGTATAAAAATATGACTTGGTAAGTAAACTTGAGGAATTTTTTTCCTATTATAAAAAAATAGCTCATCATTGCCAACCTTTCGTTAAATGATCCATGCACAGAAGAAATCACAAGGGAAAAAATGGTTTCAGGATCAATGTACTATAAATAAGAGAAATTTGTGGCTTGTCACTAACATACCTTTTAACTTCAAATCACATGACAGTTAGAACAGACTTTGTTAAATCCTTCACACAAACACATACACACACACACACAGTCACACCAAAATATAAGTGACCAAAAGGGCATGACATCTCAAACCAAGAACAAGAGAAAATGAATATTTTATTGCACCTACAATTAAATGTGCCTTCAAATTCCAGCCAACCTGCCAAAAGCATCTTGTAAATGTGTCAGGAAAACCCACCCACCCAGGGAACACCAAAATTGGAAGTCAGATAAAAACAATAATGCAGGACCATTACTACTATCACTGTTCACTAGAAAAAAAAGAAATTTTAGAAGAAGAACATGCTATTTGGATTTCAGTGGCAAGGGAATTTTAAGTCTTTTGTAAATATTCAACTGAACTGGATAAATATGATCTTGGGTACGAACAGCATTAGGTGCAGAATTCAGAAAATAATACATTTTCAGTGTACAGCCTTTAAATTGGCTAAAAACAAAGACAACAACTGTGTGGAGTGGCATGCCAATAATTACTTCTCTTGGTTTACGTACATATCTTCTATTATATCAGTAGTCTCCCTTCTGCCTGATCTATTCTCTGCCCTAAGATCCTTTATCCTATATTAATAGTTGAATTTAAAAGACAAATGTGCAGACAAAGGAAAAGAGGCAAATAGAGCTCTCTCAAACTGAGACTTTTTTCTATATAAACTATATGCACCTCTAAAACAGAGCGGAGGAACCTCATTGATTAGAATCATTTTTCCACGTGAAATATTTTGACCTCGGGAAAACTTGAGCAAAACAACTAGATTTTTTTTTAATAAAAAAACCAGAAATAAAATTTTTATGGACAAATAAAAGTCCTCCTGGTTTTTGCCTTTGTTTTCACATGATACAGACATCTTATGTTTCAAAGAAAAAAATATATAACCATAGTAAGGAAGTGCCTTAACAAAAACAAGGCAGAATAGGTTCTAAACTAGAGTGGATCATTTTTAAGAAGTACTAATTTATACCTACCTAGTTGTACCCATGCTAAGAACCAAAAACAAACTAAAAGCCTGGTTTCATTGTATTTTCATGTTTTCAGTACTACAGTCTGAATTTCGATATTTCACAAAAGAGTTGCTATGCCTTTATTCTTTGGCAAGGTCTGCCTGGCTCTCCAGTTTTCTTAGGACCCTGTACCAGAGGTTGCCACTCCAGCCAGCTTGGACGTTGGAAGCTAGAATCTGAACCTTAATTATGACCCACTCGTTCCACTGACTGGGTAGTGCAAACGTGAGTGATGTTCAAAGACGAGAAAATTAAGATAATAGAAGTTGCCTGCTCCTTAAAAACTGGAGGACAAGAACCTGTCTCCCAACTTTCCTAAAATTAAATGTCAAAGAGGGAGAAGAGTATATCAGTAATTTAAGAGGGAAGTTTATCTAGAATAAGGCCAGATTTTTTTTCAAAGCTACATTTATTTATACCCATGGCTTATGTGGGTTTAAAACAGATGCAGCCCTTACAATACATGTCATACTTGGAGCACGGAAGCTACCTGCAGAACTGATTCTGACATACAGGCGCCTAGCTTAGAATGCATTTCTGTAGAATTCAGGGAGATCAATAGACTCGGGAAACAAATATGTTGATGGATGAGGACGGGTCTGAAAACGACCAGGCTGAGGTGACCACGCTGCAGGTTTCACAGCTATTCCACGTTGGTAGAACGAAAGGGTTACAAACGATTCCCCTTTCTTTAAAAGGGAAAGGAAAAAAAGGAAATGAGGGGAGAAAAAAAGAGGAAATGGAAGGAAGAGAATGAAGCGAGTGGTGAGTAAAGGAAGAAAGAAATGAGGACGGGGAAAGAGAAAGAGAGAATCCCGAAGAGGGGCGGGGGAGTGGGAAGGAGAGCTATGATGTATGGACGCTCACCAGCCACCAGCCAAGCGCTCCATCACCCCCAAGCCTGCATCCCTCCCTCACTCGTCTGGAGACCTCGGGTTCCGCCGCCCTGGCGCTGACAGCCCTCCCCGTGACCCCGGCGCAGGCCACGCCGAGATGCCCAAAGTGGCCCACCGCAGCCAGCCCATCCGAACCCGCCACTCCCAGGACCGCGCTGGCCACCCCCATCCCCGACGTCCCCCCGCACCCCCATCAGTAGTGTCAGGGGAAAAGCCGAGAAGAGTGCAGCGAAGAGGAAAAAAATAAAGAAGGGGAGGGGGCGGGGGAGACGACCAAAAACAATTTTTAAAAATAATCTCATCATGGGTCCTGGAGAAGCAGCAGGGAGGAGACCCGTGACAGGCACCTGGAAATGAACACGCTGTTGCAAATACCCCGGGCTCCCTTGGGCTGGGCGATTTTCCACAAAAGGAACTTTGCAAGGAGCGCAGCGGTTTGCAATGGAAGAGGAGGAGATCGCAGCGTTACCTGGCCGAGGTCTTGCCGGCGGGCCGCGGAAATCCTCAGGTTTGCGATTTTGAGCCACTTGATCAGGTTACTATGGAAATCGTCTTAAGGAGATGGAGAAAAAAAAGAAAAACCAACCGAGGCACATTCTTGTCACCCAGAAAGAAACTGCTTGGGCCGCTGAGAGCGGGTGCGGGACCGGGCGCGGGACCGGGCGCGGCGCCTCTCCCGGCCCGGCTCGCTCTTTCTTCCCTCCTCCGCCGGGCCGCGCCTCCCCGCCCCGCGCCGCCGCCACCTAGCAGCCCGCGGGCCGAGCCCAGCTCTCCGCGGCGCGCAGCCGGGAGCGAAAGCGCGAGCTCGCTCTCAGCCTCCAGCCGGCCTGGGCGGCGAGTGGCGCTGTTTCCCAGCCGCGCAGCTGGAATTTAAAGAGACAGGCGCGTCGCGGGGTCTGGGCCCTTGCCCAGGAGAGGAGCCCACGGGAGGCCCACCGTCTTGGAACCGCGCGGGATGGACGGAGCGGGCCCTGCGAGAAAAGTTTCCTGCGGGAACGGCGGGAGGAGCGCCTGAGGACCAGCCTCAGCTTCCTCTCCAGAATGCAGAACACAGGCTGCAAGGAGAGTAAGAGGGATTTTTTTTCCTCCCTTGGAGACTAAGGGGGAAATGATTTGTATGCTCAACAAGTCTTGCATCTATTTTCAGCTGCTCTAGTTTCCGTCCATGAACACCGACTTATTTTCATTGAAAGCACACCTACAAACGGGGGATGGGCTGGGGGTGGGGGGTGGGTCACTCTTCATTTTATGTCCTACTAAACAGAGAGGCATGGGTTTAGAGGAAGGTGGTGATGGGAAGATATAGCTGTCAGATATCTGGGATTTTTTTTTCTCTTCCTCTCTCAGCCAGAGAAGCGTCTCCTTTTCTCTCCCCTCACTCCGAATCCTGTAGGATAGACTTGAAGGTCTATTGAACCTTTACTCCAGGATTATCCACAGGCTCACCTGCCCGCCTACCGGCACCTTTTCTCTACAGCTAGGAAGGCAGGTCTACTTCTATTGCTGAGAAGAAGCAAGATCCAGCAGAAAGAGGAGTCTAGCCTGGCCCTTTTCTATTCCTAGCTGAAAAACAGCTTTCAGTGGGCAGGTCTCTCACTGTTTCACTGTTACAAATAAGGCTCAGATCTCAACTGCTGACACGCAACCCAAACAGGATGTGCAGACCAATTCACATGGTTTGAGACCACCACATATTTGGAGAACCTGAGGAATTATGATGCAATCCATTTATTTTTCTGTCCTAACCATCACCTTTCATGCATGATATTACTAAACAGTCTCTGAAGTACTAGTTCAACTTGAATCCCTCCCCTGGAGAAGAGGTAGTAAGGGGACTCTCCTTATGGTCTTGTCTAGATCAACCAAACCGATTCCAGAGTCACTCTGGCATACAGTAGTAGACGCTCCATACATATGGATGGCATTATCAGAAAAAAAAAGTGAATCTAGATTACCAACACCTTGTGGGCAGGATTCATAGAGTATTCTGTGTTCTATCTTAGACTATACATTTTTATGAGCCCTACACATAGGAAGGATGCTACATTTTAACTCAAGTGTCATAAGCTTCTTTCCTGTATCTCCCTACCAACTTAACCTCCAGTCCTCTCACCTCCACCACGCTTCCTTCATGTTGCTCTTCCACCTTGCTTGCAGAGCAAGCCTTCCAAATAAATATTACGAGTCTTATATAACATCTTTATATATATCCCCATTTCCTTCAGGAAAGTGACCACATTTCTTGTTAGGGCATAGAACAGTTTCTTAGCCCCTTTGTGCTGCCATTACAAAATACCTGAGACTGGTTAACTTATAAACAACAGAAACTTATTTCTCACAATTGTGGAGGCTGAGAAGTCCAAGACCAAGAGGCTGGCAGGTTCTGTTTCTGGTGAGAACCCAGTCCCTGCTTCCAACACTGTGTCCTTACATGGACAAAGGGTAAAAGGGCCAAGGCTTTTAATCCCCTTTATAAGAAAGGAGACTTCATGATCTGATCAGCTCCCAAGGGTCCCTCCTCTTAATACTATAACATTGGAGATGGTTTCTACATGAATTTTGGAAGGACACAAATATTCAAACCACAGCAAAGAGTGTTTCTCAAACTTTAGCATGCATTGCAATCACCTGTATGACTTTTTTAAAAATTTGTAGGCCTCATGCCCAACTTTTCTTATTCAGGTGGTCTAGTCCAGGGTGATGTATAAGAATTTGTATTTCTAACAAGATCCCAAGTGATATCATGCTACTGGGCTGGGAATCACACTGTGAGAAACACTGGCATAGATCTTTTGTGATCTAGCCCCTACCTACTCCTGCTTCATCCCTCACACCTGCCCCTCAGTTCCCAAGCAGGTCAAACTTAATAACTTATTCCATGCTTTCTCATATAGCACCAGCTTACCCCTACCTGTACGTATGCTGTTCTCACCCCATCTGTACATGTGCTGTTCTCCACCAGGAATTCTCTCACATTCCCAACCCAACTCTTCTCCACATCCCACACCACCACATCTGGGTAACACTTGCTCAACCCCTGAGACTAAACTCCTTTGGAATGCCTCCACAAACACTCCCAGATCCTACAACAAAGTTTAGGTGCCATTTCTCTGTGCTGCCTCTATACCCACTTTTCACACATTAGGAATAATAATAGTACATTTATTTGTCTGCTTCCTCACTAGAATGTATGTACTAGGGGAAAGGATGGCAACTTATTTATCCCTGTATTCCCAAGGGTCTAGCACATTGGCTGAGACTTTGTAGCAGCTCAATAAATGTTCAGGTAGGTAGGGGAGTGAAAGAGAATGAGAGCGGGAGAAGAGAAACAAGGTTTTTGTTGTTGATGATTGTGATGATGATCAAAGACAAAGTTCGTGATAGTACTAGAAAGGACAGAGATAGAAAGGAGAATTAATATTTTTGAACTCCTTGTACTGTATGTATCAGGTACTGGGTTAAATGCTTTGCATGTTACCTCATCTATTCCTTAAAACACCTTGCAAGACAAATATTATATTACATATGAGAAATCTAAGACTTGGAAAAGTGAAGTTGCTTGCTCAACATCACACAGCTGTTTGGTGGCTGTTGCAGAACTGAGGGAGGGATGATTTGTTTGATTTACTATAAGCAGCACAAAGGCAGTTTTCCACAGGTATAAGTAAGTTTCATGTGTATTGTAAATATTCATGAGCATTTTGTTACTTTGGTTAATATTACTTGAGCTCTCACCACCCCTCTCCCAGAAGGGGTCTCCCTCACAGCCTAGGGTAGGAACCTCTAAAGCTTTACTGTGGCTTCCCTGACTCAGTAGTCTACTGAAGTGCAGTCTCCTCAGCGGATGTAAGGGGCTCCTCTGGCCTCTGTCATTTCTGTGCAGTCTTGCTCTACCCTTGTACCATATCCTTAGTGCTGTGTAAATTTGTAAAAGAGTCAAGCAAAGCAGACAAGTATAGTAATCCATTATGGTGATGGGGCCAGACTCCTTTGCTTGTCTATATTTCTGCTCTAGTGTATCTTACTATAACAGAGATAACCATTAACTGGCAAGAAAATGTGTGAATAAATTAAAGTATGATTGATGAAATTATTTGGATATCTTTCCAAACAAAAAATATATTGTGAACAAAAAGTAAGTGTGTTGGAAAGTAAATGGATTTTATGGCCATTTAGGATAAGGCTTTAATTCAAAACTTAGCTAATTTGCTATAAATATACCAACTTTTATAGTTAATGAAATCAGCTCAAGATAAACTTAGAACCTATATAATGTCTATAGATTAAATCAGCATAGGAATGTTTCTTTTCTTTGAATGTTGTATCTTTTACATAGGATTATACTAAAACATGAAATTCTTATAGCTGGAAGGTATATTTAGGGCAAGGGTTCTTAACTTTAGCTGCATATTACAATCACCTGAGGAGTTCTCAAAACTCTCAATGCCCAAGTTGCACCTCAAACCAATTATATCAGAATCTCTAGGATTTGAGATCTAGGCAACAAGGTTTTTAAAGCCTTCCAGGTGGTTCTAATGAGAAATCAGGATTGAGGACCACTTCTGTTGAGATGAACGTCAGTGGAATTCAGACCTGGCTGCTGATTAGAATCACCTGAACAAATTTTAAAGGTTCTCGTGCCTACACCCACCTACAGAGAATCTGATTTATTTGGTCTGGGGTGGGGCTAAGTCCTCAATAGATTTTAAATCAACCCCAGGTGATTCTAATTTGAGGTAAGGTTGAAAATCACTGTTGTAGAACAATGGTCCTCAAAGTGGAGGCCCCAGAACAGTAACATTAACATCACCTGGGAACTCATTAGAAATGCACTCCAGAGGCCCTGCAGTGGCTCAGGCCTGTAATCCCAGCACTGTAAGAGGCCAAGGCAGGCAGATCCCTTGAGCCCAGGAGTTTGACACCAGCCTGGGCAACATGGTGAAACCCAGTCTCTACTAAAAATACAAAAAATTAGCTGAGCATGGTAGCACGCGCCTTCGTCCCAGCTACTTGGGAGGCTGGGGTGGAAGGATTGATTGAGTCTAGGAGGCAGAGGTTACAGTGAGCGGAGATCATGCCTGGACAATAGCTTGAGATCCTGTCTCAAAAATAAAAGAAAGAAATGCACTCCAGATCTACTGAATGACAAACACTGCGGGTGGCGTTCAGCAATCTACATTTCAACAAGTCTTCTTGATGATTCTGATGCACGCGAAACTTTGGGAGTCACTGCCTTGCCACGTGGTATTAGTGATATTATTCTCCTTTACAATTGAGAACCCCACATTATCTTCAGCAAACATCTGTCGAGCTCCTACTATGGAAGTTCTAACAATTATTTCTAACAGGTTTCCAGATGGTGCTGCTGCAGGCCCAGAGATCACAGTTTGAGGACCACTGTCCTGTCATGCGCCAGGCCCCTGCAATTAAATATTAAGAATCTTGAGAGTTACTTTGTTTTCAAAAGGAACCTATTACAACATACCAATGTGGTGTGGCTCCATCAAGAAAACAACTTAGAAAATGGCTGAATTTTTAGAAAATCCTTTTCCCTAAAAAACTATGGAAAAATCGCATGTAGTTTATTTTTATTTTTATTTTTACCTATTCCTACTTACTTGATCAGAAAAAAGAAAACTATCAGCCGGGCGGGGTGGCTCACACCTGTAATCCCAGCTCTTTGGGAGGTGGAGGCGGGCGGATCACGAGGTCAGGAGACCCAGACCATCCTGGCTAACACGGTGAAACCCCGTCTCTGCTAAAAATAGAAATTAGCCGGCCATGGTGGCGGGCGCCTGTAGTCCCAGCTACTCGAGGGGAGACTGAGGCAGGAGAATGGCGTGAACCCGGGAGGCGGAGCTTGCAGTGAGCCAAGATCGTGCCACTGCACTCCAGCCTGGGCGACAGAGCTAGACTTCGTCTCAAAAAAAAAAAATCATTCAGAACTAAAAGCTAAGGGCACCTTAGTTATGAATATGGTTGTGAAGAGTTCATTTACTATATTACATTGCAGGAAAATCTCAGGGTGGGAGAGAAAGATGTTTGCCTTTTTTCTCAAACCAAACCACCAGATTCAAGGCCTAAGAAAAAACTAATCAAAACTTTGTTTTTTTCTGGCTACACAAATGAGCCCAATTTGCCTTCCAAAGAGGCTATTCTTCTTCCTGTCACTGCTTTTAGAGGAAAGAAGAGCCTGGTTATTCTTAAAAAGGCAAGTGCTGTTCTTAATGACTTGGTGTGAATGTAACAATGAAAGTCCTGCCCATCTAAACCTAGACATTAACAGGACCCCTAGTTTCCACAGCCTCAGCTTCGTTCCACAGGCATAGAAGGCTAGATGACTGAAAGCCAGCATTGTGTCACTAATCTTTGCCTCTAGTCAAGCGGCCAAAGAAAACCCCAACCAGAGCACTCAAAATAAGACACCCTAGACCATGAAATCTTCTTTCATCCTTTCAGCTGCTTAAATTGATTTCAGGCTACTAACTTGGACCCTTGAGGGAGGATCATTCAGGGATAAGCTCTTTTTATAGTATGAGACCCTGCCTCTATTTGGCAATTGCTTTTGAAAAGTTCTGCAATAGACTACTAAATTGCATTTTTTTTCCCTGAGACTTCCTTGGGATCAGTGGAATTTCTCTACTTAATAGAGGAGGGCTTCAGGAAAATATCCTAAAAGAGTTCGGAGTTGCCAGCCAAAGCATCAGGTGCTGTTACCGACAAGAGAAAAGGCTTTCTAAGAGTAAATTATCAGTATTTGTTTTGCCTGTGTTTTTTCAAATAACTGCAATGTTAATAACTACATCAGCTACTGAACTAACTCTGGAAAGATCTTAAAGTTTGAAATCTCCTACCAAGCCTGGAGGAAATAATAGTCATCACCAAGCTACAAAATGTCACCTAGATTGCTTTTTTTCAGGCATGTATACTTAAAAATGCCAAGCAACTCCCAGAAATGTAATTAAGTTGTTTAGGTGAACAGAGAATGGCAGTAAGTGGCTTTTTAAAATATCAATTGTGAAGGAAAAATGTAAAGAGAACAAAAAGTAAAGAAAGATGATGAAAAGAAAGGGCATGTAAGAGTAATTGGAAAGGAGGTTGCTGTGAGTAACAAGGAGGCCTTTATGTGGAGAGTGTCCATTATAGACCGACATCTGAGGCTGTTTCATTATGAAGTTGATCCCCTGGAAAAAAATAATGAAAAGGTAAATTTTCCAATCAGAAAAATCTTAAGACTAGATTACTACCTGTCTTTGAAAGGGCCCTGGCGTGGTGGCTCACGCATGTAATCCCAGCACTTTGGGAGGCTGAGGCGGACAGATCACAAGGTCAGGAGTTCGAGACCAGCCTGGCCAGCCTCGTGAAACCCTGTCCCTACTAAAAATACAAAAAATTAGCCGGGCATGGTGACACATGCCTGTGGTCCCAGCTGCTCGGGAGGCTGAGGCAGGAGAATTGCTTGAACCCAGCAGGCAGAGGTTGCAGTGAGCTGAGATCGTGCCACTGAAAAAAAGTAGCAGTGAAGTTATTTAAGAGAATATACCTGTTGTTAGGAGGTTTCAGCTAAACTTACACTGACATGGGTAAAAAATAAATTTTTATATAAGAGGCCAGGCCCAGTGGGTCACACCTATAATCCCAGTGCTTTAAAACGTTGATTGCTTGAGGCTAGGAGTTTGAGATCAGCCTGGGCAACATAGTGAGATTTCATCTCTACAAGAAGGTTTTTAAAAGTTTTAAATTTATTTATTTATTTATTTATTTATTTATTTATTTATTTATTTTCTGAGACAGAGTCTTGCTCTGTCAGCCAAGCTGGAGTGCAGTGGCACAATCTCTGCTCACTGCAACCTCCGCCTCCTGGGTTCAAGCTATTCTTGTGCCTCAGCCTCCCAAGTAGCTAGGATTACTGGCATGTGCCACCATGCCCAGCTAATTTTTGTATTTTTAGTAGAGACGGGGTTTTGCCATGTTGGCCAGGTTGGTCTCGAACTCCTGACCTCATGTGATCTGCCTGCCTTGACCTCCCAAAGTTCTGTGATTACAGGTGTGAGCTACCGCGCCCGGCTAAATTAAAAATATTTTTTAAAAAGAATGTGTGTGTCTACATATGTATGTCTGTGAACATGTATACATTTATAAATATATATGAGGAGAGAGGATACAAATGTGACTAAATGTTAGTGAGAGGTGAATATAGGTGAATTGTAATAGACTTGTAACTTTCCCACAGGTTTAAAACTTTTACAAAATAAAGAGTTTAAAGAAGAATAGATAAATAAAATCGCTACAAAATAAGTTACCCAAAAACATGGTATAAGGTGAGCTTAAATTAGAGTCCTGAAAATATGTTTCAGTCTATTCTAAAACCATTAGCAGGAGACGGGCACCGTGTTCCTCTCTTGTATCACAATTGTTGTCATTAGAGATATGGCATACACGTTTGTTCACATCATACATTCCAAGTAATGCAGCACACTACTCTGGACCACGGTGACCTTTTAAATATTCTGCAAATTGATTTCCAGGCCATTCCCACTCTCCCTTGTTTATAGCCTTGGTAACCCAGAAGAAAATGAGACTGGCCAGCTGTGATTCCTGCATTTCTGTTCTCATCAGTGCTCAGAATTACATTTCTTTCTCTCCCAAAGGCTTCATGACAACGCTTACTGTTGATCTAGAGAGCAGCAGCACCAAGAATCTTCAATAAGGACAAGTTTAAGAGCTATAAGCAGTTGTGTGGACTCCTTAGAGGTACTCGATTGAATGAACACCAGTAGCAGCAGATTTATACTTTTCTGTATTGTAAACTATGACAGTAGAATTACAAACCTCTACAAAACATAGAGTGCACACAATACAGACAGACAATATATCTAGTGTTTGAAACCACAATATATCCAGATTATTATCTTTTTTAGCATTAAATCACTTTTACCTATTTTCATGATTTTTTAATCTATCAAAATGCCCTTTCTTATACTAAATTTATATGAATGCTGATCACAGTAATCCATGCTATGGTCTAAAAATTCTACAAAAATCCCTACCTCTGACATCAAACTGAGGTAATGAAATAAGAGGAGGTTGGCACCTGCCTTAAGCTTTGTGACTTGGAATTCCCTGGCAGGCATATATTCCCATAAATAACCAATAAATATAGAATCAAAACAAGCTGAGTATATCCAATTTCTTCAAACTAGCTGCCTTGTTTCTGTTAGGACAATCCTGATTTTCTAGTTGTAGACAGAAAAAAAAAGTTAGTGGTTGGTCAACCCTTACACAGATTTCTTATCTATTGGGAAAAACCAGCAAAAATAGGAGAATTAGCATAAAAATAAAATGGAATGGAGAATAATTTTTTTCACGGGCTTGATGATACAGAGAAAAGATAAAGTTAGAAAAATGGAAGCATTTCTTGCCACACAGAGACAGTACAAATAAAAATTCAAGAGGGACTTGCTAGGTAGAGACTCCAAGAAAAGACTGTTGTTCCACTTTCTTTCAGGAATCCAGAATTAGGTAGGGGAATTTCTACTTCAGTAGCTCAATATATAGGAAGAGGAATTATCCACTGAATTATCCTTATCAGTGGATATAGAGCCAATGAATAAGTATAAAATATTATAAATGGAAAGCTAGTATCACCCCTCATTCAGCCCTGTAGGGAGTCTAATTGAATATGTGAAAAATTCATAAACATGAGAATTTTGTGCCTCAGATCAACAGTTCTTCATAAAATTTCTCCTCTGAAGAAAATTCTGTTTATTTCCATGCATTCAAAGTTCCTAGTTTTAAATGGGAAGTTACATGGAATAAAAAGAGAGAAGGAACAGTCCTGAACTCTCGTAGTAACTAGTGGTGGATAGAGTGTACAATTTTACTTTTCATTCCATCAAGCATAGTAACAAGAGCGTACCTTTTTCTCTTACTAAGGGATTGGAAAGGGCCAGCTGGGGAGAGATTTCATTAGCTTCCAACTATTGGTTATGGGCTTCCATTAATGCTTTTGGCAAGGTACCTTTGGGAACTAAAAACTTAACACAGACCGACTTATTGATTTGTTTACTCCACTCGTAGAATGCCCCCTTTCTGTAGATGTTGGAAGTTCAAACATAGCAAAGTCAACATATTACAAATAATGTGGATAATGGGCAAATAGGTACTAAGTGCTAAAATAACTCATTAAAAATAGCATGAAGACAGCTTTTCTCCATAATCTCATCTAACCTAAAGCTACTTGTCAATGAATATAATCCCCAAATATTCAAAACATATTACGTTTTATGTAATATATATATGTGTGTTATGTATATCAAATTTTATACACACATACATATATAAAGGTATTTTAATCTATATTTTAACTCTGAGTTACTGAGTAAAAACTTAAACCTCTGAGCTCCTAATATATTAAAATGTACATGTAAGTGTTCACTCTACATGTTTGATAAGAATGAGCTATCATATTTCTGATCTGCATATGTTTCATTAAAATCATTAAAAAGCATTATTTAAATGCTTCCTTATTGGCCCCCAAATAGTATCAAAAGTATGTATACGTGTGTATGAGAGACAGTATGTGTGTGCAGAGGTTTAGTTTGATTTTCTACTCTCAAAAATTATTTTCTGTTTACTAAAAAGAGTCTATAATTTAGCTCAGTTAGGACCCCAACTCTGTGACAAATTGTGGCACTTCATTTTGGACCCCCTGACATTTTGTTCACTGTGTAACTCTTCTGCATAAACACTGACTCAAGCCACAATCCACAATCCAAGACACTGTAAGAATGGATGGAAACAGAATCATGTGATGTGAAATGCAGAGTCATATCTCAGCTCCTATAATAACTGTCACAGAAGAGCAGATGTGAAATGCTAATGTCTGTCTCCTTGATGTTTTGCAGACTAGGAGGTTTTCCTGGTAATTTATAAACTTGTTGAAGTTGTAAGCACTTACAAAGCCAGTTTCATTATCAGCTCTATCAAGAGTCGTACCCAAAAAGGGGGTACTTACTACTTGTGTCAAACAACTGTGTTTGTCCTATGTTAATACCAATTATCATTAATCAACCTAAGAATCAAAGCTTATTTAAGTCCCCACCCTTAATTGTAAGCAGTATCCAGTTACAATGTCAGCTACTGGGGCTGGTAAAGATTATATCCTTTATAAGAAAATTGCACTAATAGCTTTCTATGGTTTAAATATGTATCCCAAAGTTCTTCTGCTGGAAACTTAATCTCTAATGCAACATTGTTGAAAGGCGAGACCTTTAAGAGGAGATTCAGTCATGAAGGCAAAGCTATTATTGTGGGAGTGGGTTAGTTATTACAGGAGTGGGTTCTTGATAAGAGAATCAATTTAGATCCTTTTCTCTCTCTCACACTTGTGCTCCCTTGCACTTCTGCCTTCTGCCTTAAGATGATACAGCAAGAAGGCCCTCACACGATGCTGATACCTTGATAGTGGGCTTCTCAACCTCCAATAACTGACATAAATTTCTTTTTTTTATAAATTACCTAGTCTGTGGTATTTAGTTATAGCAACACAACATGAACTAAGACAGAAAATTGGTACTGAGAAGTGAGGCTGTTGCTATGATAAATATTTGAATATGTGGAACTGGGTAATGGGTACAGACTGAAAGAATTTGGAGGAGCAGGCTAGAAAAAAGCCTAGATTGCTGTAAATGGAGTGTTAATGGCAATTCTAGTGAGGGATCAGAATAGGAGAGCTATAAGGAAATTCTGAAATTTATTAGAGATTAATTAAATGGTCATGACTAGAATGCCAGTAGAAACATGGGGAGTAAAAGCCTTTCAGATGAGATCTTAGAAATAAATGAGGAATGACATATTGGAAACTGGAGGAAAGGCCATCCTTGTAATATAGTTGTAAAGAATTTGGCAGAATTGTGTCTGTGTCCTAGGACTTTGTAGAAGGCAGAGCTTAAGAGCAATGAACTGGGATATTTGGCCATAGAAATGTCTAAACAGCAGAGTGTTCTAGGTGCTGTGTGGCTTCTTGTAGCTGTGCACAATAAAATGAGGAAAGAGAGAAATTGAAATATGGAATTTATAATTAAAATGGAAGCAGAACAGAAAGATTTGGAAAACTATCAGGCTGGCCATGTAAAGAATGAAAAAGAATGTTTGGGAGGGAATGCTGAGACCATGACCAAGCTACCTTTTGTTAAAGAGGTTAATATGAATAGAAGAAACCTAGGTTCTATTCATCAACACAATGGGAGAATGACCCTGAAGGCATTTCAGAGATCTTCGAGACAACTTAGGAGGGCAAGGTTTCCAGAGAGGTGTCTTGGGACCTCAGCATTTGCTACCCTATGCTACTTTGGGACTCTGCTCCCTGAATTCTGGCACAACTCCCTTTGGTTACCCTAGCTGTGGTCCAAGCAGGCCAAGTGTGGCTCATGCTGCAGCTCCAGAGGGCACAAGCAGTAAGCCTTGTCAGTGTCCACATGATGCTGACTCTGCAAACATGCCAACTATGCAGGCTGTGGCACCAAAGTGACCTCCACTTAGGTTTCAAAGGATGTATTAGACAATCTGAGGGTCTTGGCAGAAACTTGTCACAGAGGTAAAGCCACTGCAGAAAGTCCCCACTAGGGCAAGGCCTTGTGGAGCTGTAGGAGACAGGCCACTTCAGAGACCCCAGAACTATAGAGCTGCCAATCTGCAACTCCAGACTGGGAGAGCTGCATGCATGAGACTCCAGCCCATGAGGGTTGCTGCATTAACTGAGCCCAGCTAAGCCATAGGGGCAGGACTGCCTGAGGTCTTGGGGTACAAACCCTGCCCTAGCGTGCCAGGATGCAGGACATGGGGTCAAAGGAGACTGTTATCCATCTTTGAGACAATAGTATTTTCCCCAATAGGTTTTAGGTATACTTGGGACCAGTTACCCCTTTCTTTGTGCCTATTTTTCCCTTTTGGAATGTAAGTGTCTATCCTATGCCTGCTTCACCATTGTATTTTGGAAGCATATGTAATGTTAGTTTCACAGGTTCACAGCTGGAGAGAAATTTGCCTCAGGATGAATCTTGCCTTTAGTCTCACGCGTATCTGACTCAGATGAGACTCCAGACTATAGGCTTTTGAGTTAATGCTGGAATTAATTAAGGTTTTGGGGCTGTTGAGGTGGAATAAGTGTATTTTGCATGTGAGAAGGAAATGAATTTTAGGGGCCAGGGATGGAATGCTGTTATTCGAATGTATCCCCCAAAGTTTATGTGTTAGAAACTTAATCCCCAGTGCAACAGTGTCAACAGGTGGGACCTTTAAGAGGTGATTAGACCAAGAGGGCTCTGCCCTTCTCAATGAACTAATGCCATTATTGAGGGAATATGTTCGTTATCATTGGAGGGGATTTCTGATAAAAGGATGAGTTTGGCCCCTTTCTTCTCTCTCACGCTTGTGTTCTCTTGCCCCTCAGCCTTCTGCCTGAGATGATGCTGCCAGAGGGCCCTTGCCAGATATTGCCACCTTGATATTAGACTTCCCATCCTCCAAAACTGTGAGAATTTAATTTCTATTTTTTATAAATGGCCCAGTTTGTGGTATTCTGTTATAACAACACAAAACAGAGTAAGACACATCTTAAGAACGTTTGTATAAGAACCATTTCTTTCTTAACAATGCTACCAAAAAGAATATAAGTGGGGAATGCCCAAATAATATTTCATTAATTTGAAAATGAAGCAAAATTGGATAAAAATCCCATAGAAAATGAGGTAAAGGTAAGAAAATATTTGGTCCTTTCAATTTCTTTCCTGAACCATGAGATCCTAAAGAAGTGATGAGATTTTCATGAGGAAAAGGTTAAAGTTATTGCAGACATATATTTGCTCCACTGAAGGCAAGTGCAAACCCTTGGCAAAGCACATATTTTGAAACATCTATATCCATAAAATTTACTCAGGAACATAAGACTTCCTTTGAGAACTTTAAGAGATGACTCAATCAATATATTCATTTGAAAACTGAGATTCAAAGTCTTTAGTCAAGATTTATGACCATTTTATTCCTTTATTTTGCTAAAATTTCCACCAGCCTTTCTACAGGCTGTTACATCCTGATGTCTGTGGGAGGTTTCCAACTCTGTTTTAAAGTTCTGAAGAGTGTTTACAGCATGTTATTTCTGTAGACCGTCTATCTTTTGAAATGCTTCAAAACTCTTTAATAGGAACTCACTGTGAGGATATACTCTACCCACAACAGTTTATTATACTTGTGGCCAATAAATGAATTTTACATAAATGAGTTTAGAAATAATTTTCAGGATGATAACCAATAATTTTGTGATTTGTGTGTTTTCCAGAACTAGTATAATCAAACCAATATTACATATTCTTCCCTAACCTAGTTCTTGAAATCTATTGAGATTTATAACACCTTTAATATGCAAAGAACTTTACTTCTTGCTTTGTCATTGTAACTTCATAATTTAAATAAGTATTTTCTTCAGATGGGTCAGATTTTCTAACTTCAATATATTTTATAATTTGCTTAAAATATTTGCGTGTTGCCAAACTGTACACTTAAATGTATCTCAGGATCTCATGTGATAGAACAGTTGGAAGTCACCTCTCAAGAATAATCAGAATATTTATTGTTGATCTACCACGTGCAAGGCAGTGTAACCCCACTACAGAAGACTGCAAAAGTTATAGAAAACCATGCCTGCACTAAAAGAGTTTCTATCTACATGGGATGACAGCATATGATAATGAAACACTTAAATAGGACTCCTAGAGATTATATGCTTCAAAATGAGTAGTCTGTCATTAAGAACAATCAAAGACAATTTTGCAACTCTTAATTTGGACGTCCTGAAGAAAAAGGTCTAAACTGAGCTTGAGACGTTTAACTAGGCCTTACAGAGTATTGATACTAAAAATGTGGCCCAGAGGAGCAGCAATACATACATCACCTGGAAGCTGGTTAGAAATGCAGAATCTTGGACCCAACCCAGACCCGTGGATCAGAATCTTCATTTTCAGTGGATCCCAGGATCATTCATATTGCCCATTACATTTGAGATTGCTCTGTAATGAAGGAAGTTAATACTTGACCTGGACATAAAAAAACTAAAAAGATGAAGTTAAATTCAGAGTCAGAGTCCAGATAGTAATGGGCCTTGAAAGTTCAATCTGAATTCATGTTTGTGTTTTGCAGTGATCAAGTGTAAAATGTACTAAAGAAGAGATATGTGGGGAACAAAGAGACCAATTAGAAAACCATAGGCTGAAGAAGTCACACCATTCATTTTGGGAGTTGTCCATGTAAGAGTTTTCTCTCCTATTAAAAAAAAAAAAAAGAGTTAAAAGCAACATTCTTGCATGCACCCAAAAGAGAGAAGCTATTCCAATTGATCAGTGTCTGAGATTCACTGAGCTTTGTCTTGCTAGTAAGCCTGAATTCTATTCCTTCACTAAAGAACTATCCTGTCCCTCTTGTTTCTGTGGAATATGCACAGCAGAGCAGACATTGCACATCCTGCCCACTGAGGGGAAGGTGGAGGGGTAGAGGAAGCCTACAACTCTCTTCTCTAGTTTATATAAAAATGGACATACTAGGCAGCCTGTGGTCTTTGTGGGAAAGCTGATTGGTCAAGTATTTCAAAAAATGCATAGTTTTTGTGTGTGTCTGAGGACCAAAGTCCCAATATTAATTCATATGGGAGGTAAGAGGCCCCTCCTCAAACCAATACCTCAGAATTTTGGATTTATAGGAAGGGAAATCACATAATACATCACCCAAACTAGGAAACCATTGAAGATAAAGAGAAAACTATTCAAAATTACACCAGGATAACAGGTTTAAACTGAGATTATCCTGAGTAAACCTGTGATATCCTATAAATTATAGTATGCTTGCATATGAAATTAGTATAAAATGCCTTGGCCGGGTGTGGTGGCTCACGCCTGTAATCCCAGCACTTTGGGAGGCCAAAGTGGGGATGGATCACCTGAAGTCAGGCGTTCAAGACCAGCCTGGGCAACATGGTGAAACCTCATCTCTACTAAAAGTCCAAAAATTAGCCGGGTGTGGTGTCACATGCCTATAGTCCCAGCTACTCAGGAGGCTGAGGCACGAAAATTGCTTGAACCCAGGAAGTGGAGGTTGCAGTGAGCCAAGATGGCGCCACTGCACTCCAGCCTGGGCAACAGAGTGAGACTTGGTCTCAAAAATAATAATAATAAATACATAAATAAATAAATAATAAAAAAATTCACCTTCCCCATAATATCTTGAGTCCCTAGTATCTTTATTAGTAGATAGTCACGTATATTCTTCTTGAGAACCCTCCTTTCATCAACTAAAACCCTCAGCATCCACGAAGCCCAATTTGCACATCCAATAAGGGTGAACACTGGACTCTAGTACACTGTGGTTCTTGTTACTGTGTGGTTGGAACTATGGAAGTTGGGTTCTATAAAACTCAAAAGTCAATGCCAACCCATTTCTGAAATAATGACCTGATAACCCAGCTCCAGGCTATGGTCGTTCAGCATGGAAGCAGGAGCCCGTTCCCTCAGTGCTAACACAAGGGCAAGGGTACCCCTTACTTGAGTTTCCAATGCTGTAGCTCTTGGCTTTCAGTTCTTTGGGGTCTGGATTGGTTCAGTGTGAGCCACTCAGAGACCACTTTCCCTTTCCCTCCCCAGGTTGTTGGGGATCTTTTCATTTTATATTCTCCAAACACAAGGTTGTTACTCTTCTGAGGAATGTAGGCCTCTGTCAACCAAAGGTGGTTTTACCCTACTATGAAAGAACCCCTATATCTTTGGGGGATGATGAAGGTTGAGGATACCTTTTTTGATTCCAAAGCAAGTTTTTGGCACGTCTCTTGAGAGAAATTTTTTTTAAAAAAGCTAAACTCTAGTGGGATACTCTTCTATGCACAGATTAATAAAACTGAAATGTGTCTCCTATTTGCCAAGTGAGCATCATTGTGATCCATAAAGACATGGAAAAAGATTGTAATATTTGTGTTGGCTATAGAAATTATGAAAACGATGGAATAGCAACTAGAGACATTTTCTAAGAA